>NC_000006.12:98858668-99010183 GCF_000001405.40 Homo sapiens
TGAAGTCTGGGATATTCGTAGTTCTGCTAGATTGGGTTGTTTTGTGTTTCCATTGACCGTAATCACAGAGCATGGTAATACTAAGAGCCAGCCCTAAGGGGTCTTCCAGACATACGCTTCCTTACTTCCATTAGTAGTCCAGTTGCCCCTTGGTAATCAGGATCAATCACTCCAGCCAACATCACAACGCCCTTTTTTGTCTGTTGACTCAAAGGCATAAGGAACCTCAAAGGGCCAGGTGGCAGTTTTGATTTCCAGTTCAATGGAATAATTGTTCCTCCTGGTGGAAGCTGTCCTCCTTTTAAAAATAAGACCTCCAGGCCAGCAGAGTATAAGGTCATAGAAAGCAAAAATTTTGCTGATGGGTCACTAGGGGTAAAAGCAAGCAGTGCTACTTCCATTTCCTCCCATTGATTCCTGGACCTGTGTATCCTGGCTATGGGAGAAACAGGACCATATATTGACACTGATTCAGAGCATACCCAGCCTCCCAGAGAACCCTGCTCCAGTCCTGCAAAGTATTGCCACCTAGCTGGCACTGTAACTGACCTTCAAAAGGCCATTCCACCACTCTATCAAGCCAGATGCTTCAGGATGGTGTGAAACATGGTAAGACCAGTGAATCTCATGAGCCTTGTTTGATCAGAAGTAATGCTTTATGGAATACTATGATGGCAGATAAGGCATTTCATAAGTCCACAGATGGTAGTTTTGGCAGAAGCATTGTGTGCGGGGAAGGCAAATCCACATCCAAAGTGTTTATTCCAGAAAGAACAAAATGCTGCCCCTTCTATGATAGAAGTGGTCCAATGTAATGAACTTGCCACTAGGTATGATTACATAAAAGCTGGAATCTTACGTGATAATTTAGGGTATGTCGACTGGTAATAAAATGACACAAGAACAAACCATATTTTGAGGGAATTGACTTTTCTGTGTGCTAACATAGGAGATTCCATAGCTGGATCTCACTGGACTCTAAAGCTGTACATCATTTGGAGAAACTGCTGGGTCTACTACTCAACTGTTTGGTGCTGAGCTTAAGGTCTTAAGACAGGTGTTACTTGAGCATTAGCCCAAGCAGATCTGTAGGTCATTTGACAGCGTGTAGACACATGGGCATTTCCAAGCACTAGAGCAGGTGTAAAGTAATAAGCAGAAAAGTCTGGGCCACAGAGTGAGAAATGTCCTAAAAAGTGGACAGTTTTAATGTGGTTCAATCTTTTTTTACTAAAAATATTTAATACAACAGCTACTTTTTTTCCCTTCAATTTTCAAAGTCCTTTGAACCTTTTGTCTAAATAACCTTGGTTTTATTACAGACAGGAATATCTTTATGGCATAATAACCTCTACCAGTACATATGGTGGTGTTGGAGTACATGTATCAGAGGATGCTGAGGAACAAATTCTTTTTTTTTTTTTTTTTTTTAGACAGGGTCTCGCTCTGTCACCCAGTCTGGAGTGCAGTGGCGTGATCTCACTGCAACCTCTGCCTCCTGGCTCAAGCCATCCTCCCACCTCAGCCTCCCAAATAGCTGGGATCACAGGTGTGTGCCACCAGGCCCAGCTAATTTTTGTTATTTTTTTGTAGAGACAGGGTTTCACCATGTTGCCCAGCCAGGTCTCAAACTCCTGGGCTCAAGCAATCTGCCCACCTCAGCCTCCCAAAGTGCTGGGATTACAGGCATGAGCCACTGCACCTGGCCAAATTATTCTTTTAGTCAGTTTTTTAATCAAGAAGATTTCTAGTTTTCAGAGGAAATCCTGAATGTTATTAGCCATCCATACACCTTTCCCATATATGTACGCCATGAAAGTCAAGTGTTCAGTTTTATGGGAATGTAAATCTGGTGCCTTTCACTACATTGAATTCATAGTTGGAGTTTCGTATTTCAAATAAGTAATTAAAACCCGTTGAAATTAAATATCAACTTTCAATTGCCATAATTCAAAATAAATTATCTCATATATTTGAAAAACAGACAAGAAAAAGATGGAAAGAATAGAGTTTGCAAAAGGGATAATTCTGAAAGTAATAAATTAAAATGACTTTCAAAATAGATGGGAAATTAACAGAAAATAAAACTGCCTTTAAAAACATTGCCTACTTTATAAAATTTGGATTTTAATAGCCTTGCCTTATACTGGAGACAGGCCAAGCTGTGGATAATCACCAGTATTTGTCAAACAATTATTTATTGAGTACCTACTATGTGCCAGACACTATTCTAAGTCCTGGCAATATAGCAGTGCCAAGACAAAAGTCCTTGTGCTTGAGGAGCTTAAAATTATAGAGGAGTGGACACAAACGAAAACATGTCAAATAGTTATAAGTGCTATAAATAAAAATATAGCAAGTTACAAGGGCTAGTGATTGATGAGGAGAGGGGAATATGCTGTTTTATTTTGGGTGGTCAATAAAGGCCTCTGTGCATAGGCAATATTTGAGCAGACACCTGAAAAAAGTGAGACCTGGAGTGGTGAAGATATATGGGGAAGAGCACTTTAAGCGGAGCATTTCAGCAAGGAGCATAGTACAGAGAGCTGGGGGTGGGGATAGGGGTAGGGGAAGGAGCTGTGGACATAAGTTTTACAGGTAGCAAAGATAAAGGGCTTTGGTTTTTATTCGGAAGGGTTTTAGGCACAGAAATGACATAATCTGACTATGTTTTAAAAGGAGCACTAGATTGTAAGGAAACAAGGAAGAAGCAAAGAGATTGGATGTAATAACTCAACAGTAGTTCTCATTTCATAGTATTTCATTCTGAGATTGACCTACCCTGTATGTTTCTGGGGAATGCTAATACTAATCAAAGCACTTTCATTTCAAACATTAAGGTATTTTGGTTTCTACATTTCTAAAATTTATATACAAACATAATACCATCACTTATAGTGATAATTTATAGCACTGGACTAGTGTATAGTCCAATACACTAAATGTAGTGACAAAAATTAATTC
This sequence comes from Homo sapiens, assembly GCF_000001405.40. Taxonomy (NCBI): domain Eukaryota; kingdom Metazoa; phylum Chordata; class Mammalia; order Primates; family Hominidae; genus Homo; species Homo sapiens. Next base: position 98,861,633 of record NC_000006.12, read on the forward strand.
ATAAAGATAAAATACAAACACCAATGAGACACATGGTATTAACAACTAATTTTAATTATACTAAGTATGTAGTATCCCAGCATGTGAAAGTTTTTTTTTCCCCACTATTACCAAAATAATTTATATGGTTTGTACTGCTTAGGTCACTTTGGAAACCTGGGGTACTTGTTAAAAATGTAGTTTTCTGGGTTCTTTGTAGTATCAGAATCTCCAGGCGTTTGTGGACTGGAAATTTACATTTTAAACAAGCTTCCACATGGTTCTTACACATACATGTTTGTATCAGTGACTCTCACTGTAAAGGAAGAGTATTTTAGTGACTTGACTATTTTAAAGCTAGGTTCCACTATTTGAATACTAAGTAAAAACAAGGAAGATCATATCTTATTACTTTATCTCAAATCCATTTTTGAAGAGGGATTTGAATAAAAGAAAATTAAAGTTTTATTGCTCTGCCATAATTCTAAGAAAAACTGAGCTAAACTATAATAAAAATTGCAGAAGGATATGCTTTGTTAATTAGGTGACAATAAAAAAGCATTAGAATGAGACCTTTACACTGAGAATGACCTCAGAAAGCTTTTGGAACAATTTTTATTTTTTTATTATTATTATACTTTTAAGTTTTAGGGTACATGTGTACAACGTGCAGGTTTGTTACATATGTATACATGTGCCATGTTGGTGTGCTGCACTCATTAACTTGTCATTTAACATTAGGTATATCTCCTAATGCTATCCCTCCCCCCTCCCCCCACCCCACAACAGGCCCCAAAGTGTGATGTTCCCCTTCCTGTGTCCATGTGTTCTCATTGTTCAATTCCCACCTATGAGTGAGAACATGCGGTGTTTGGTTTTTTGTCCTTGTGATAGTTTGCTGAGAATGATGGTTTCCAGCTTCATCCATATCCCTACAAAGGACATGAACTCATCATTTTTTATGGCTGCATAGTATTCCATGGTGTATATGTGCCACATTTTCTTAATCCAGTCTATCACTGCTGGACATTTGGGTTGGTTCCAAGTCTTTGCTATTGTGAATAGTGCCGCAATAAGCATACGTGTGCATGTGTCTTTGTAGCAGCATGATTTATAATCCTTTGGGTATATACCCAGTAATGGGATGGCTGGGTCAAATGGTATTTCTAGTTCTAGATCCCTGAGGAATCACCACACTGACTTCCACAATGGCTGAACTAGTTTACAGTCTCGCCAACAGTGTAAAAGTGTGGAACAACTTTCTTAGTTTACAGATGAGGAAGTTGAGATGCAAAGTTAAATAGTCAAAAGGTAGCACAGTTGATTATGGATTCCTCATGACTCTTGTTTCAGAAATATTTCTATTAGTTTATCCTATTTTTTATTTCCCATGGAATTAGGTGATTATTTGGGAAAATCTTACAGTGAGGATCTTTCTAAAAATTCTGAACCTAAACCAGTGTATTCAATATTATACTTATTTTTTTAAAATTAAGAGGTTATTTTGTTTTATATTAAGATATTTTGGCTACTTACAGAAAGCTGAAATATTTGTAGTACATTGTAGTACCTTGGGTATTATTATTCAGAATTATTTGTTCCCAAAACCTTTGGATGTGACTTACAATAGTTCCCTATAGGAAGAGTAGCTTTGCTGACCAATGACTGGGTTTAGCCACATGACTTGCTTGGTCAACACAATGCAAACAGACTTGATGAGCTTTTCAATGCATTTCCCAGTGCTGCCAGTTCTCTTGCTTTAGTGCCCTCTGCCACTACAAGGGCATAGCCCAGGTAGGACCTTCTCTTTCAGCCCAGGGCCTGAATAGAGTAAACCTGAACCTGAATCACATCCTGAAGTGCAGCCAGAGCAATTAACCCACAGTAGCCAACAAGCCACACAATGAAAAATATATGTTGTTGAAAGCTACTGAAACAGTTGAGGTAGTTTGTTACCCATTGTACTCTAATAAAAGCTAATACATATATGCTCCCAAATCTGGATTAAAAGTCTGGTACCTGAAACAGAAAGATTATCAAAAGTAAAAATTCTGAGGTTTTTCTGACCAAGAATCTTTGTTATAAAAATGGGTAAATATCTTATTAATGTGCCTGCAAATACATTAGTGATAGAATGTTTTTATACAGTTTAGAACTTGGTATATGATAGGTACATATTTGAATTATGGTCATTTTTGTTTGGAAAATAGGTGTAATGAATCTACATGACAATTTCATAATGTAAAATTGCACCAACATGCACAAAGGAAATGCCACAATTTATCTGGGGATATAATTTTCAAAGCCATGGAAATACAGGGAAACTCTTTAAAAACTTATAATCCCATAAACATACAATGCTCTTGTCAATGTATATGATTTATGTCAGATTTACATCAGCAAAATAATTTGCTTCTTATAAAATTTTTCAAAGCTTTTCTTAATATGCTTAATTTTCTTACATGATTATTGAATGTTTAGAAAATTTCTTTTAATTGTATTCTTATAATGTATTCGATGGCAAATAGGAATTTCATAGATTTTGAAGGACCATTTAACTACACATAATACCACCTCTGAGGGAAAGCCAGCTATAGCTTATTATGCCTATTTTTCAGAAATTATGGGATCAATGTTTAATAACTTTATCTGGCAGAGGGGACCTGGAGCCAGTTCATATCATCTCAAAAGAGCAAAGTATGTGCGTCTCATTCCAACTCAGCATTAAGTGACTTCACATTGATAGCTTGAAATCAGACAGATGGGAGTATTACATGACAAAAATTGGGAAGCACTACAAACTGGAGCTTTTTTCTCCCAAGAGTTGGTAGCTAACCACTTATCAGTGTACCACTAGGCTTAAGAAATTCACCTTCTTTGGCACTTGGTATTTTAATGTTTAAAATATTTTTTTAATCGCCCAGATGGTTTATGAGGCGAGATTTAAGGCTACGGAGAACTGAGGCTAGTGGCTTGCTACACAGGTTTAGAAGGGCTGAAGGCACCGAGGAATGTGGCCTGATGATGCTCCAGGAGCACTTTCCATTCATACTCTAGGCCCTGGTAAAATGGATGCACCTAGAGCAGGAAATGAATAAGACTCTTGATTTTGCAAGGAATCTGTATAGATTGTAAAGCGGAAGGCACTTTGAAAGACAAAGGCAGAACCGTCCTCAATCTAAGTGTTTCTCTTTTCTGTGCACATGTCCAGACATACCCTGCTGACAGTGAGGATAACATATGATAGGGACACACATTGTAAATTCTTTCAATTTGACAAATATTTCTGATTATTAGGACTTAAGAACGTTTATTTTAGGTTTTACTGGATGGAGTTATTTTATGACTTTCAAATGAAGTTACTAGGGCTTCAACAATATTGACTCTATGCGGGTTATCTGTCAGCAAAAAACATATCAAGTAAGAAGAATGGTGTGTCAGAATTTATGTTAGTATTAACAGTTCTCTTGCCTTGGTTGTTGTAATCTTAGCAGCAATTTATAAATATGCTATAGAAATATAACTTCCCACTAAAAAAAAGTTTAACAAAATTAGCATATATTTACTGGAGAAGAAATAAGTAATTGTAGGTGTGTATATATATATATACGTGTATATATATATGTATGACTATACATATAATAGGGTTCACATTTAAAGTATTTATTTGTAAAGAAATGATTCTCATGATAAACTACCCCTTTTCCTTCATTCTCAGACTTTAGCAAAACAGATGCTAGCAGTGAATTTTTACTATACTTTTTAAAAAAAGTTACATATTAAACAATTTAAAAAGTCACTTATCAGAAGTTAATCTAAAATTTCTACTTTTTTCTATTACTATACAATGGATGGTTAAAATAGTTTATGGACCAGCACAACATAATAAATATTAATTAAAGCAACTTGACAGTTAAATCCTATATACAGATATTCATATTAAAATCATCAGCTGGAACAGCAGGCCCTTACGGTATTCCCAATTACTAGACTATGAGTTGTATTTCACAGAATTTTATGATACTAAAAGTAAATGAATATTCTAAAAATCTAATACATTAATAAAAATTGGACTTAGAAATTAAGGGTCAAAATAAAAAGCAGTCATGCTCAAAAATATTTTTAAAATCACATCACCAAAGTATCAGTAACTTCCAAGGATTCTTCTTAATAAGAAATACTTTTAAAAGAAACAAAATTACAATGCATAATCTTTAACGAGAAGGTTAAAAGTGACCTTAGTGAATACTTTTCATAATACATCCTATAGTGCTGTTAGTGGCATTTTCCAAACTGTGCTCTGAAAAACTAATTTCTAAGAGAAGTTGATAGATATTCACAGAAGTCTGGGAAACAGTACAAATCTTAACTCACCTTCACAGTGTCCATTAGCCTTTTAAAGTCCCTGAAGTTTAGCAGTAAAGAAACCTAAATGTCTTGATACATAACCATTTTGGGAAATTGCTCTGTGGTTGTTTATATGCCTTTTCTATACCCAGCACCCTTACCTCAACTGTGCCTAGCTCAAAGCTATCAATGTATTATTGTTGTCAATATATATCGATTAAACAGATGGACGGGTGTTTTACCTTGTGTCATTCATTCCATCCTAGCTCACCAAAAGTAGTTTGGGCCTAAGAACTGTGGAACAACTGAAGAACTATAGTAATGAAGGGATTGGTTTCTACAAAAGGCAAATACATGATACTTTATGAGTAAAAGGAGGAAAACACTGTATCAAATTTTGGTTTAAGTAGCAAATCAAACTTTTAAGTAAATCTTAATTTGGAGGAATTATTGAGAAGGCAGAAATAAATAACAGAGTGTAGTTGCAGACTCCTGTAATCTCAGGGTTTAGAGTGTAGTTGCAGACTCCTGTAATCTCAGGGTTTAAAATGCACCCAAGTTGATGTCATTTTATAGCATGTGGATGGATTGTTAAGAGTTCTGTACACAGACAGAGAGCCAAATCATGAGTGAACTCCCATTCACAATTGCTTCAAAGAGAATAAAATACCTGGGAATCCAACTTACAAGGGATGTGAAGGACCGCTTCAAGGAGAACTACAAACCACTGCTCAAGGAAATAAAAGAGGATACAAACAAATGGAAGAACATTCCATGCTCATGGGTAGGAAGACTCAATATCGTGAAAATGGCCATACTGCCCAAGGTAATTTACAGATTCAATGCCATCCCCATCAAGCTACCAATGACTTTCTTCACAGAATTGGAAAAAACTACTTTAAAGTTCATATGGAAACAAAAAAGAGCCCGCATTGCCAAGTCAATCCTAAGCCAAAAGAACAAAGCTGGAGGCATCACACTACCTGACTTCAAACTATACTACAAGGCTACAGTAACCAAAAGAGCATGGTACTGGTACCAAAACAGAGATATAGATCAATGGAACAGAACAGAGCCCTCAGAAATAACGCCGCATATCTACAACTATCTGATCTTTGACAAACCTGAGAAAAACAAGCAATGGGGAAAGGATTCCCTATTTAATAAATGGTGCTGGGAAAACTGGCTAGCCATATGTAGAAAGCTGAAACTGGATCCCTTCCTTACACCTTATACAAAAATCAATTCAAGATGGATTAAAGACTTAAACTTTAGACCTAAAACCATAAAAACCCTAGAAGAAAACCTAGGCATTACCATTCAGGACATAGGCATGGGCAAGGACTTCATGTCTAAAACACCAAAAGCAATGGCAACAAAAGCCAAAATGGACAAATGGGATCTAATTAAACTAAAGAGCTTCAGCACAGCAAAAGAAACTACCATCAGAGTGAACAGGCAACCTACAAAATGGGAGAAAATTTTCACAACCTACCCATCTGACAAAGGGCTAATATCCAGAATCTACAATGAACTCAAACAAATTTACAAGAAAAAAACAAACAACCCCATCAAAAAGTGGGCGAAGGACATGAACAGACACTTCTCAAAGAAGACATTTATGCAGCCAAAAGACACATGAAAAAATGCTCACCATCACTGGCCATCAGAGAAATGCAAATCAAAACCACAATGAGATACCATCTCATACCAGTTAGAATGGCAATCATTAAAAAGTCAGGAAACAACAGGTGCTGGAGAGGATGTGGAGAAATAGGAACACTTTTACACTGTTGGGGGGACTGTAAACTAGTTCAACCATTGTGGAAGTCAGTGTGGCGATTCCTCAGGGATCTAGAACTAGAAATACCATTTGACCCAGCCATCCCATTACTGGGTATATACCCAAAGGACTATAAATCATGCTGCTATAAAGACACATGCACACGTATGTTTATTGCGGCACTATTCACAATAGCAAAGACTTGGAACCAACCCAAATGTCCAACAATGATAGACTGGATTAAGAAAATGTGGCACATATACACCATGGAATACTATGCAGCCATAAAAAATGATGAGTTCATGTCCTTTGTAGGGACATGGATGAAATTGGAAATCATCATTCTCAGTAAACTATCGCAAGGACAAAAAACCAAACACCGCATATTCTCACTTATAGGTGGGAATTGAACAATGAGAACACATGGACACAGGAAGGGGAACATCACACTCTGGGGACTGTTGTGGGGTGGGGGGAGGGGGGAGGGATAGCATTAGGAGATATACCTAATGCTAGATGACGAGTTAGCGGGTGCAGCGCACCAGCATGGCACATGTATACATATGTAACTAACCTGCACATTGTGCACATGTACCCTAAAACTTAAAAGTATAATAATAATAAAAAATATATAGAGAGAGAAATGAAAAAAAAAAAAAAAAGAGTTCTGTACACAGGCGGATGGCTCCTCATCTAGGCTGGTAATTTCACAGGGGCTGTGACGCAAACCTATTTACCCAAACCTTCCATTATATTCAGCAGTGCCCTGAAATGATCAATTTTGAAAGTGAACTAATGAGATACTCAAACTTATTTTATTACTCTAAAGTACAGAATACAAACAACAGAAATCATTAGATATTGAACAGCATTTTTATGTAAATAAAATTAAAATATCTCAGTCGTCTGTACAGACAACTTCATTTGTAACAGAGACTTGTTTTATCTTTAGTGTATTCTACTCTATTTATCTGATACGACTATTTTGCTTTTAAATGTTTTCCTTAAAATTTTTATAACTAATACTTCACTAATTACTTTACCAAATACATAGATTAAAATATCCCTAAATGTCAATTTTAGCAGGACTACCTTTTTCCTTTCAAAATGTAGTCAAATATACCTTTAACAGTATTCATATGCACAAAATTTAAGCCAAATATTCAAGCTTACAGGCAAAGATCTTGAGCACACTTACTGCTGTGCCAAAGGAATAATCTTGGCCCCATCCCTACTTATAAAAAATATATAATAAATCATGATCTTTGATTAAAGCAAATGACTCTTAACAGAATGTGAGCTATTGCCAAAAAAATGATTCTAACAGTTATGGTTTTACACTCACAGCCTAGGTTTCTAGTAGTATGTTGTCAAAAAAAGCAAATGAGGTGATGATTGGCAGTTAATGGTCATTGACAAGATTTTAAGGGTAGTTAAAAAAGTTTCTCTGAAGTATCAATATCAAATGTGCTAAAAGGAGAAAAGTAGATGCAGCACTGATGTGTCAAAAATGACTTTGAAAATGTAAATTCCTGTGTCTGTAATAGGTATCCTTTAATAGCTGAAAGTAACAAATGAAAAGCCAAACATTCACTATTAACATACATGGGGCCTGACACAGTGGCTTATGCCCGTAATCCCAGCACTACAGGAGGCCAAGGTGGGAAAATTATTTGAGCCCAGGAGTTCAAGACCAACATAGGCAACATGGAAAGACTGTGTCTCTATAAAAAATAAAAAAATTAGCCAGGTGTGGTGGTGTCTGTAGTCCCAGGTACTCGGGAGGCCGAGGTGGGAGGATCGCTTGAGCCTGGGAGACTGAGGCTGCAGTAAGCTGAGATCATGCCACTGCACTCCAGCCTGGGGCAATAGAGTGAGACCCTGTCTCAAATATGTAACACACACATACATACATAAATATATACACACATACATGGTAGCCAAATGGAAATTTTACTGACTCTTTGATTAGTATCATTACACTTCACATATGAGTTTTAGTCTTCAGTTAATTCCTGGGAAATGCCAAAAATAAAAATACTGCCACAGAGAAATTAGTTTTTCTCTGCTACATATTGGCTCAAAAGTAAGCACCTGAATATTAATTGTCTACATTTTGTATTTTTAAGATCTTATTTCAAAACAATTTACATTGAGAGTATTATTTATGCTCTTAAACAGGATCAGGGATATCTTTATTTCTAGACTCTGGGAAGATAATTTACCTGAGCAAAATGCAAAGATAAATAATTATACAAAAATTTAAGTCAGTTGTCAAAGCTAACAATGCATCACCTGGCTTCAAAATTTAACAAACAAAGAGTCTACATAAATATCTTTCTTGTCTACACATCTTTCTTGTTATGGTAAACATTTTGTTTTTTCTAACAAAACACTGCTCTTCATTTTAAAATCTAAATGGCAAAATGAGAATGATAACAGCGAATTAACAGGTTTGAATGTGGTTTATAAAATTAGGAATGGGCAAACATGGATTAACTGACTCGAAAATACTCTGGAATAGGGGTCACAAATTTGGTCCACAAGCCAAATCCAGCCAGCTCATAAGAACAGTTTCACATTTTCTAATGGCTGAAAAAATCTAATGGCTAACACAGTAGTATTTTGTAACACATCAAAATTATGTAAAATTCAACTTTCAGTGCTCATGAAATTTTATTGGAACATGGCCACACTCATTCGTTTAGGTACTGTCTATGATTGCTTTCACATTAGAATGGCAGAGTTGAACAAATGCAAAGGAGACTTATGTGGTGCTGTCATCATTTTGCACTGCTACTTGGCACACTAAAAACTGCAGTAATGCAGTTACCAGCATTTTGAGTGCCACATATGTTGTCATACCACAATATTTTTAAATTTTTTATTACTAGTGCTTACCCATAACATCAAAACAAGAGAAAAAAAGAAAAGTAGACTTGAAGTGACATTTTTAAGGCACATTAGTATATGAATTTTTAAAAATCAGATTAGATGTCAGAGTATGATGTTTAATATGCAATGTCATTATAGCTGTTCTTAAAGAATACTATAGGGAGGTCAGATGCAGTGGTTCATGCCTGTAATCCAAGCATTTTGGGAGGCTGAAGTGGGTGGATCACTTGAGGTCAGGAGTTCAAGACCAGCCTGGACAACATGGTAAAACCCCATTTCTACTAAAAACATAAAAATTAGTTAGGTGTGGTGGCATGTGCCTGTAATCTCAGCTACTTGGGAGGCTGAGGCAGGAGACTCGCTTGAACCTGCAGGGTGGAGGTTGCAGTGAACTGAGATTGTGCCACTGCACTCCAGCCTGGGCAAAAGAATGAGACTCAGTCTCAAAAAAAAAAAAAAACAAACTCAAAAATGAAAATAAAGTTGCAGCCAAAGTGACTCAGATGTTAACCAAGCAAGGAAAACATTTTACTAACGATAACTAAATTGTGTTTGATTCTATCGGCTGAAGGACTGTGTCCAAAGTAAACTTAAGACTATTAAATTAGCCTTTTGGCAAGAATGGTTGCTTAAAGAATTGAGAACACTGGGAACAACATCAACAGTCAATAAAAAACAAGGCAAATGACCCTGAGTGGTTTTCCTTGGCTCTTGATGAGTCAACAGATGTTACTGACACTGCCTAGTTATTGCTTATTTGATAAGTCAATGCCAACGTTGAAGTGACTGAAATTAGTCTCTATGAATTATCTGTGTGGCACAATTACAAGCATGAATATTTTATAAGAAGAAAACACAAATTTCATGCAACCTGAAGTAGAATCTGCTAAGATGTGTTACAACTGGTGGTGTTAAAAATGTGTGAAGCAAAATGATTACGTTTGTCAAATTTATAAAGCCTGTGAAAAGGTAAGAAGGTATTTAAAATCTATGGTTATTTACTGTATTATTCATCAGCAGGTACTTTGTGGGATATATTTGATTCAATTTTGTATTACTGAACTACTGGTAGCAATGGTGAACTTCATTTGCTCTCATAGTTTCTGATAGATTAAACATCAATGGTTCAGTTATCTTTTGTCAGATACAGAAGATGAATATGCTGATTTGCCCAACCACATTGGCATAATAGTGTTAGTTCTATTGTGAGCTTTTGCGTTCAGGGCTGATATTGACATTTTTCTGAAAAAGAAGACATGTCCTCAATCACTATTATGGAACACTGAATGGCTTTGGAATTTAGCTTTTGCTCAAGACTTAATAAAATTTTGAAATGAATTCAAGCCAAAATTACAAGGCAAAACGTGTTTACAAGCAAAACATAAGTCATTTTGATGACAACATTGTTTGAATTACAAGTAACAACAAGCTGCTTTACACATTTCCTGTGCTATCAAAAGGTAAGACAAAGAAGCGAGATCTCCACTCTCACACAAATTTGTAGCTCACACCATAGTGCCTGCAGTATTTTTTGGAGTTTGCAAATGTAAAGGAAATTTCCATTTTTCAAAATCAATTTAACAGTGCAATTGAGGAGCTTCTGCCTAGTCTTCAATTGGAAGTGATTAAGCTGCAATGTAATAACATGCTAAAAGGAAAATATCCAGAGAAGAAGTAACCTTTCAAGTGATGAATATGCTCAACAAAAATCATATTCTCATGGATTAATGTAAGTATTTGACAATACCTATCTGCAAGGAATTTTCAGAAGTAAAATACATAAAATCTTATTACAGATCAGCATTAACAAATGAGTACTTACAATCAACTTTAATGACACGAAACATTAACTTTGATCCTCCCTGTAAATATTTAATTCTTTTCATTAGTAAACCCGTATTACAAAAAAAATTGTTCTAAATTATTGTTTTGAATTTTGTCAATAAAATTTTCGTGCAAATTTTATTTCTCTCTAGTTATTTAAGTATCTACATAACAATCTCAGTTTTACCTCTTAGCCCACAAAGCCTAAAATATTTACTATCTGGCCCTTTATAGAAAAAGTTTCCTGACCTCTGCCCTAGAGCCAGAAGCTACCCTGAACACCTAAAAGCACAGGTTTAATGCAATGCTTCAGAAGCCAGATGGCCTGGGTTTATATGTTGGCTCTGCCACTAGCAGCTGTATGATCATAAATAAATTCTTCAATCTTTCTTTGCCTCAGTTTCCTCATCTGTAAATGGGGGTAAGTAATGGCATTTATCTTACAGGGTTGTTGTGAGAATTGAATTAGTCAATGCAAAGCACAAGAAACAGTGCCAGGCACAAAGGAAGCATTCTCCTCATGTGACTACTGAACACTTGACATACATCGTTTTGTTAAAAAAATGAATTAATTCTGCTACTCAGAAAGTAGACAGAAAATATTTTGTGGCATGAAAAGGCACAGCTGTTTTGAACACAAAACTAATATTAACTGTAGTATAACAAAATTCATTGTCCTGTTAAGTGCAAAATCGTTATATTCCAGCATCCACACACCCTAGCAAGATATATATCTCTCTCTATATAATATATATAATTATATATATGTATATAATATATACATGTACATTACATATAATATAAATGTAATATATAATTATATAATATATAATATATACATGTATATATTAAAAATCATAAATGTGGATATATATTATCTATAATATGTATATATAATGTGTATATATAATATATATCTCCACATTTATGTTTTTTTATATAATTCAGAAACCTCAAAACTTTACCTTTCACAAAATGTTAAGGCATCTGCTTCTAACAGTTGGAAAGCTTTTTTTATTTAGTAGTTTACCTCTTATTCTTGATTATACCCAAATTTTTATATTGGCATTATCCAGTAGTGAAATAGACAAAAATATCAGAAGAAAAGTGGAAACACTACAATTTTTTTTAAGAGAAAGGGACTTGCTATATTGCCCAGGTTGGAGTGCAGTGGCTGCTCACAGGTGCAATCATAAGTACACTAGAGTCTCAAAATCCCATCTCAAGTAATCCTCCTGCCTCCACCTCCTGTGTCGCTAGGACTACAAGTGTGTGCCACCACACCTGGCTAGAAAAACTAAAAATTTTCCAGTTGAACAGTTAATCCAGAGAAATAACCAAACAGCTGGAAAAGCATGTCTCATTCTCCAACTAGCTCTGACCATTTTGTACATACCAAACAAAACACTTGCCAGGTCACAGGCTTAATAAGACATCCTTACATGAAGGTGTAAAAAATTAACTTTTTTTTTTGCATAAATGCCACGATACTTTATTGCTCAGTGTTCCTTTGAAAATAAGTTAGCATGATTCCATGTTATTCTTTTATCAATCATATTATTGACTAAAGCATATCACTGATTAACATAAGGTAAAAATAATATCCACTCATATTCTTGAAGAGAAGTGCTTGCAGTATTTTATGAAAACATTTGTGCACATTTTTACTTGATTTAATGGACAATTTCATATTTTTCTTTAAAATCTACAAATGTCTTAATTCTTACCATTAAAACAACTAAAAACAAAACCCAAAACCAATCCCAAAATTAAACCCCAACAAAGCACATTAATTTTAATACAGAACATATATTAAGTCACTGAGTAAAGCTCTTTTTTATGAACACTTTTGGAAAGCTTGCATTCAGTTCTAGCACAGCTCTGTTATCAATCTGCGAACAGAAGGACACATCAAGTAAAGAAAGATCTTTACAAGATTCCAGGAGTTTTCTTAAGGATGCCGGACTTACCATTCTTGTTCCTATTTAAGGGAAACAAAACAAAACAAAACAAAACACCTTAAGTATAACATTTATATAATGTGCTAACAATGAATCCATCCATGATTTATTGTTTGTAATGAACTTAAAATAACCCTTTACAAATTAAAATCATTTTTTCAAACATGACTTCATATTGAAATGGTTCTGTTAAAAAAGTAAAAGTTGAATTTTCCAGCCAATTTAGCATCTAGGACCTGAATCTTGCCAATATCCTACCCACTATCTTCATTCCTACCTCCTACCCCTTCAAATCAGCTCCTCCAGACTTTCCTATTTCTGTCACCCCAGTTCAAAATGGTTTTCACCATGCATTTGATGTAAAATGTGCAAGTGCGATATGACTTCACAAAGTATCAATTGTGTGGACAATGATAACTACTGTGACACTGCTAGCACCCCTGGCTAAAAGTAAGAAGCAACAAAATTACACAGGGTTCCTTTCTGATGAATGCAGCAAGGATTCAAGAAATCCCAGAGCTGGAAAAGATTTTCAATAGATCTGCCTGGGGTAGAACTATTCCTAAACGCTAGAATTATCAGGGATAAAGATTTCACGATATTCCTTAATCAAGAATTTTAATTAAGAAACTTAAAAAAAACTAGCTTGAATTCATTATACAAATGAATTAATTTCTTCTCTCCTTAATAAAAATAGAGAGCGCAGCTCATGTAAATTCTCACTCTTACAAGTAGACCAAGAATTAATGGTTATAGTTTTTTACAGTTTCAACTATAAAATTGTTATTGTCCTCACTATTTTATTAAAGTACATATATAATTATTCCCTATATTAACTGATCTATCTTGCATTTCCTATCAAACCAAGCCATCTTATCAGGATAAAATTTTTATTGTATCCAAAAATTTTCTTTTTCCTAACAAAAAGTCTGAGATTGGCTTTTCTGTCAAGGAAACAGACATTTAAAACAAATTTATATATTGTAACCTTACCTAATATGTCCAGCTGCTGTAACCTGGTACAATTACATGCCAATTCATCAATGTCTGTGTCACACACAGATCTATTAGCTGTAAGAAAGAGTTTTTGCAAGTTTGGGAGCTGGTGTGCCAGTCTGGTGAAGCACCCGGTGCTGCTCTGCAGAGTTGGGCACCAGCCAAGGTCAAGCTCCTCCAGTAGTGGACACCCAGAAGCCAGTTCTGCTATTCCATTCTCAGTAATATTCTTACATCTCCACAGATCCAGGGTCCGGAGTTTTTTACACTTGGCTCCTATCATGCTAGCTATCACATCATAGTCTTCAATCTGGAAATCAAATAATTCCAATCTTTTACATGTTATGCTCAGACATGCAAACTGTTTAGAGTAAGTCAGATTCTTAATTATAACCTATTGCTTTGCTTCCATGTAAACAAATCCACATCCTTGTTAATACAGATCTGCCCACTGACCTCACGGATCTGCCACTGTTTCATAAAACAGCCAGGAGTACTCATTTATTTAAAAATCCATTTAAGAGCACTCCAGACAGAAGATGTTAATGAATTAAATCCCAAAGCAGTCTATGTCTTCAGTCTCTCATGAAGAATTAAAGGATTATATGTTCTTCTTTTATGCCCACCATTTCAACCTTGCTGCTGCTACTCATTGACAGCACCTACTTTCCTCCGTTTTATATATGGCTAATATACTTTGGCAAGTATATATGATCTCCCTGATGTGTATCTGGTAGGCTCTAAAACACTATGTGGAAATGCTGATAATACTAATAAGGATACTAGTTTTGGCTTAAATGAGGCATTTGGGGACTGCATATACAACATGAAAATAATTTAGATTACAATATGTTAATCAACTGTCAGTTATTGGAGGTGTCCAGTGCTTACCTCATGATTACAGGACAAGACTCTACTAATCAAGGATTAAACATTTCAGTTATTGGGCTTTACATGCTTTAATAATGTTTCTTTAAATAGGTTATTTTAAGAGGTTCATTTGATTTTGCTAAAATCAGATATTAAAATTATCACAAGGAAAATTATCAAAAGGAAACAAAATAGTAAACAATTACAATGATTATTTCTTTTTGTTCTTTTGTTTAATTGTATTTTCAACAAACATCTACGCACCACTCCAGATGCTAGGACCAGCAGTAAACTGAAAAAAGGAGACACTGTCCATATTTTTAGGAAAGACACACAGACTAATTAAGGAAAAAATACATTCAAAGAGTGACATATAGTGGGAAAATAATAAAACAGAGTGATGTGAGAGTGATCAGAGTGTCACGGGTTGAGGGAAGAGGTGGTAATTGCTGAAATCTCCAGGAATGAGGTTGATGCATTCGAGGAACAAAAATGAGATCCATACAGTCCAAGGGTGGTGAGGGAGAGGACGGGCTATGGAGGGCAGAGTCACGCAGTGGCCAGGACATTTAGACCATGAAGGAGTTAGATTTTTCTTTCAAGTACTAAGGAAGTCAATGGAGGGTTCTAAGCAAAGGAGTGACATATTATTATTTACATAAAAACTGACACAAAACCACCTCTGGCTTCTGTCTGGAGGATGGGCCTATAGTGGGGAGGAACGGAGAAGGAAGCTCATTGAAGAGGTCTGCAACAGTGTAAAGGACAGATGACAGGGACTTGGATTAAGGTGGCAATGATGGAATGAAGAAATCCGACAGATTTGGGGCTGCATTTTTGAGTTAGAACCAAAGGCTGACAGATTAGATATAGAGGTAATGATTTCTAAGGTTCTGGATGTCAGTGTATGTATGGTGGAATCATGCGGAAGTCTATGAGAAACAGGTTTGGGGGAACATATCTCCTTACGTGAGTATACCTGAACAATACAAAACTGTGGGTTTGATAATTAGGGCAGCCAATTAGCTTACTTAGAAAAAAAAAATTTAAAAACTTTATGAAACCTATGATTCTGACTGTGCCCAATTTGTGCCTGGGCAATCTCAGCAGCATTTGAACAAATTCTCTACTAGCATAGAACACAGTGAGAAATTCCTTCAAGAGTTTTTTGTTGTTGTTGTGAAATTATCACAGCACTACTCATGCCAAATTCAGGGCTGGGAAAATAAAAATGAAACTAAATACTTTTTACTGGAACAAAGTCAACCTATCCCTCCTTTATTAACTATAATTCCTTCTAAATTTTAGATATTATGCAGGACTCTTTTTTCCCCAAAAATATTAGACATATTTATTTTCTTATTCATTATCTAATTTTAAAAATAGGGCAAATGTCACAGAGGAACTATCAGCAAGAATTTAAGTGACCTAACCAGGATCACATAATTAGTAGGAAACTTAAGAAAATAGCAGGTAGGTCTTAGGATTCTTTAATTTAGGCAACTTTAAATTACTTCAATCAGCATTATATAATAGTGGAATTTAAACTTTTTAAAGTCATTTTTAGAAGTAAAAAGAAATAGATAAAATTTGTCTCTTTCCCAATCAAGAGGAAAAATAAATATTTCTAAGTAGTCCTAAAAACATGTTTACGGCATTGACTAGAATATTCAGGTTTATTACAGGTGAGACACTGCTCCTCAGAAGTTCTTGTCACTGCAAATCTGTCTAACTGGCACTTGTGGCACAAAGATTAGTTTCAGAAAAAAAGTGACACAACTAATTTAGTATCTACATTAAACTCACTACAGAGAAAGTATGCCATGAGGTGAATACTCAGCGAAGGTATATAATAGATCACAATCACCATGGGAAAGTCAGCACAGTGCTCTATGTATGTATACTGTGAACAGTTGCTTCATAAATATCACAAATCTAAACATTGCTATTATATTGACAGTCAACAATAAAATGTAATATGGAAAATGTAATATAGAAAAATGAGTTCAGTAGTCAGGCAAGGTTTGAAAACACTGGTTTTAGCAAAGGTAAACAGTTTCTTTGTTGTAGCACACACCATTGTAAAACTCTAAGACCAGGCTGGAGTGCGGTGGTATAACCATAGCTCACTGCAGCCTCAAACTCCTGGGCTCAAGCAATCCTCCTACATCAGCCTCCAGAGTAGTTGGGACTATAGGTTTGAGCAACCATACCTGGCTTCCTAATTTCATTAGGAATCTCCACTCCACCCCCAAATACACAGCCTTTAAAATTGATTATCCTTTAGAGGTAATTTTCCATGGGTCAACTCTGGAAAATGCTAACTTAAAATAATACAATTTCAATTATAAGCATATATATAATTCCAACAGTAAAGAGTCTATGGCCAGAGGCTTGATTTTCTAAGGAATGTTGCTCCAGTTTAAGGGGAGGTAAATAACAAGCAGAATAAGGTACATCTAAGCAAAGTTAAATGGTCCTTACCAATCTAAAGAGAGCAGGCTAGCAATAAGGAAGATCCAAGTGGCAGTAACTGGCTGGTTTGTTGTGACAGAAACTGCCATCAAATGTCATCGGGTCCATCAAGAAGAGTCACTGAAGAGACCCACAGAAGCCTATCAAATGGCTTACTATGGAAAGAATTTGACCAGAAGTGAGGAAAATCTAGTGGGCTCCCAAGACTGTTTCTAGAGACTGAGATGGCCTGAGCCCATACTTAGGGTTTAATAAGACCTAACCACAAGATTTTAAAGACCATGGGGACACAGAGATAAATATGTCATCAAAAGAGGCCTACTTAGTCTACACTGCCAAATCTTGAGGCATTTCTGAAGCCACACTGAGCTCTAAGAGGTGTTCAAATGGTACTCATTTTAGGTCAGGGACCCTGTCTATTGACTCTAATAAAATATTTCTCAAAATGTAAGGTTACTTAAAGCAAATACTCCCTAGCATACCAGAAGTTTTCTAGAATCTTGCAATCATTTTGCTAATTCAAGTCTTCCTACTAAGTGAATGCAAGGCAGAAATGGAATGGTCTGGGGATCTCCTAAACCTACATTGTTTTAGGGAACAGGGGATGAAGTGAGGAGGAATGAATTCTTCCAGTCAGTTACACTGGAAGATTCACTTACGGTATGTGTGCACACAAACACACACATGCACACCTTCTCCACACAAGATTTCTATTGTCCTTTATATCTCAGTATTATTTAAAAGCTATATAATTATGTGGTTTAGATTAAAACATTTAACTCTTTCCATGAGCTCTTTCAAGGGCACATAAAATCGTATTTTAAATCTGGAAGGACTAGGCTGGGCGCAGTGGCTCACACCTGTAATCCCGGCAATTTGGGAGGCCGAGGCGGGCGGATCACAAGGTCAGGAGTTCAAGACCAGCCTACCCAATATGGTGAAACCCAAGACCAGCCTGCCCAATATGGTGAAACCCAAGACCAGCCTGACCAATAGGGTGAAACCCCATCTCTACTAAAAATACAAAAAAATTAGCCGGGCATAGTGGTACATCCCTGTAATCCCAGCTACTTGGGAGGTTGAGGCAGGAGAATTGCTTGAATCCGGGAGACGGAGATTGCAGTGAGTCAAGATCGCGCCGCTGCACTCCAGCCCGGGCAACAGAGCAAGACTCCATCTCAAAAAAAAAAAAAAAAAAAAAAAAATCTGGAAGGACTTTGAAGCTTATCTAGTCCAACAGTCCCTAGGCTTTTATATTTCACAGACCAGTAAAATTTCCACACACAAAAAAGAGTTCCAACATAGGGTGTTAATCTTTCTGTTTTGACCAGTAAGGACAGTAAAACAAACACAAAAACAAACAGATAAAATAAACCTATCTATTATCATTAAAATTTCAAGAAAAGTATCTCAGGATTTAAAAGCTAAAATGAGCTTAGTGAAAAACTTACTGAACTATCGGCATTTAGGTATGACTAACACCTTAGTTTGTGAAGAAACCTAGAGAGGTGATTAGCTTGTCGGAGACAACATCTGGCTTGAGGCAGAACTATACTCTATTCCACCACACTATACTTCTTTCCTTGCTCTCATGGATAAATAATGTCAGTGTTTCAAAGACATACTTTCCAATTTAAGAAAAATGTTTGAAAGCAAGGGACAAAGAAGAGAACCATAAATCTGAAAAACTGTGGGTGTGTGTGGGGTAGGGTGAGTCAGGATACATTTCACCCATAGGAAGAAAAAGAGAACAAGTAATTGAGTAGTATAAAGAATTCTCAAACACTTACCATGACACAACTGCCTAAACTGAGGTGCTGAAGCTCTGAACAGAAGTTCAAAATGCTGAGCAGTGCTGTTTGCTGCCATTAGGGACCACATCAGAGGCAAATATGGAAAGTGAATGAAAGTGAAACAAAGAGAAGAGGTCAATTAGACATTAAAGGCTGTCACTGCTTTTCCTGAAATGCAGCTCAAAAGCTAGGTTACAGAGTCCACAAATGCCATTTAATGAGTCCCCAGAGGCTCCACCATTGATTGGCTTGGAGTCAAGGTAATCATTACTAGTCTCCATGTAAGTAATCACTTTGTGTATGGTTTTGGATGCCCTAAAGATACCTATATTCCCTATGACCTCTCGGTTCATTTCCCAAAGGTAAGCAATTTGAAAGTCTGGCTACAATTGAACAACAAGACAAGCTAAACCACTCCTCCCTCCAAAAACAAAAACAAAAAGACAAAAAACCCGCAGCAGGCTGGTGACACTCCTGAAGAATGGCTGCAGCTCTGACATTCACTGATCAGCTGCAGCTTGATGGAACTGCCAATAGAGTCACCCCAAATCAGGATTGAGCTGGTGACTTTAATGTCAAAGGATTCTCTTTGCTGACAAGGATACCAACAACCATTGAGCACCTGTCAGTAGCAACATGCTGACTGAAATATATATAATATGTACTTTCTAGTCATGTTCCTGCCATTTAAGCCCATCTATCCTGTGCAATGAAAATGGTCTCACCACTAAAGAAACCCAAAGACTGCTACATAATCATGGCACCCTAAAATATTTTTTTAAAAAAGTCTGCTATGAAAAATTGTGAAAAACAAAATAATGCAAAATATTCAAATTTCTAATTTTTCTTTTATCAATTAAGGAGAAAACTATTCAAACTTACATGGCAAAATATCTTATACATTTTTAAATATATTTAAAAATTAAGATATTATACAACTTCTGTAAAAATCTGTTCCAAGTGATCAGAAACTAAAAACTATCAGTTGAGGGAAAGGTGAAGAATGTGTCAATGAAAATGTAAAACATTTGGTCAAATCCCAGATAAAGATTCTCATTGAGAAAATAAAGTAATAAAATATTTCTCAAATGTAAGGTTACTTAAAGCAAAAATAATAATAGTTACAATAGGCCACAGAGGACTATTATACTTAAGTCTAATTATTTCATTATTGAGCATTTCTTTGAATTTAAACAAAAAAAGTTTATATTGATTTTATACTTAAGTTTCAACATAACAACATTTATAAAACAATCCCATGTAGCTCTCAGAATGTTAACATTAGAAAGGGTATATTAAGATAATTTAATTTTCAGGTTCTTCACAATACTTAGCCATGTTAACTAATTAACAGACAGGAACATAACATTAGGTTTGTTTTTTTTTTAATTACAGGACCATATCCATATTAAAAGGTTGTTTTATAAGATTTTCCCTTAAGTAAGATCCAGAGAATATTAGAATTTTTAGAAAGAATCTCATAAATTCTTGTTGGTAAGAAATTTTAAATTAAAAAATACACATACATAGAGATAAATACACACATACATATAATTCACACAACTTGTTTGGTAATTTATTTTTAAATTACTTACTATGAAGAATCTCAAATACACAAACAAGTATAGGTTCCAATATAACACCCATGTAGCCACCACTCAGTTTTGTCAACTCTTAACATTTTGACATTCTTTGCTTATCTGGCTACATTGTTGTATGGCTCCATCCATTCACATACTTCCTCAGAGGTAAACTTTATCATGACTCGGTGTTTAAAACATGCTTGAAAATATATAATTTTCCAATACATTATGTATCCATAAGTAGCACATAATATTGTTCTACATGGTTTCTATATAAATGGTATTACGATGTGAATATACTTCTGCATCTTCTTCATCAGTGTGAGGGATCTGTCCATGTTGATACATATAGCTCTAGTCCACTAATCTTTAATGAAACTTGTTTGGTAATTTATTTTTAAATTACTTACTATGAAGAATCTCAAATATACAAACAAGTGTAGGGTCCAAAAGAATGCCCATAATAACCATGTAGCCACCACTCAATTTATCAACTCAATATTTTGTTTACCTCACTACATTTTTGTATCCCTCCATCCATTCACGTACTTCCTCAGAGGTAACCTTTATTATGACTTGGTGTTTAAAACATGCTTGAAAATATACAATTTTACTATACGTTATGTATCCATAAGTAGCATATAATATTAACATTAGAAATTGTATAATATTCCATTATGCAAATATATAATAGCATACAATCTCATTTGATTGATATTTAGTTGCTTACAATTTTCACCATTACAAACAGTGTTAGAATAAACATTCCTTTATGTGCTTCCTTGTGCATTTATAGAAGAGTATTTCTCTAGAGAACACACCAGAAGGAGAATTTCCAGGTGTTTATGTATTCTTTGACTTTATTTGGCTTTGCAAAATAGCTCTTCTGAGTGCTTAAATTAACCTATTCTCCCATCAGTACTGTAAGACTGTTAGGTCCCCACATCTTTACCAACATACGTAGACTTTTCATCCTTTTTAATATCTGCCTGTCTCATGAGTACAGAATGGTATAATTTGCATTAGTATGATTACTAGTGAGACTGAAGATCTTTTCATATGTTCATTGGCCATTCATATTTCCTGCTCTGTAAATTGCTTAATCACATCCTTTGCTGATTTTTCTTTCCATTGGGTTGTTTCTTCCTTCTTGACTTCTGGAATTCTTTATTCATGCTGGATACCAATCTTTGTCAGTTATATCAGCTATAAATACCTTCTCTGAGGCATGTCTTTTCACTGTTTACTGGATTTTCTGAGATGTGAACATTTTAAATTTTAATATGACTATATTAAATGTGCCATTAATCCTTTTCCCCCTTATGTTTGTATCCTGTTGTTTTTTCCAAAAAGTTCTTCTTTAGCTAAGGAAGAATCTAAGATTCTTTTTTTTTAAAATCAGAGTTTTAGAGTCTTTCTTTTTTGCACTTAGGTTTTTAACCCAACTACAATTGATTCTTATATGGTAGGATATCAAATTTCATTTTCCCCACATTGTTCCAGTTTGATTTATTGAAGACTTCATTGTATCCACTGATTTGTAATGCTTTCTGTCATATATAAGGTTTCCATATACGCATGAGTCTACTTCTGGGTCATTTTGTTTCACTGGTCTATTTTCCATTCCCTGCACCAACATTTCTGTCTTAATTATTATACTTCATAAGTCTTTAAATCTAGTATGGCAAATAGCTTTTCCTCATTCTTCAAACATCTCTTAGCTGCTGTTGGCCCTTTGCTCTTTCATGTGAACTTTAGAATCACCTTAAAGGTTTTAGTTTTTACCTTTTAGAAATAATACAAAAAGATTAATTTTTCTTAAATTAATCTCCCCTCCATGGTCATTAGTTAATTTACTAGCATTTTATCAATTTCTGTGTCATAATTTTTTTTTATATCTGATACTTCCTTACAGAATTTGTCTTTTTGTTGAGAAATATTTTTAATTGTTCTTTTACTGAGTGTCTACAGGTGATAAAATCTTAACAACAAACATTTATTGAGTACTTATTAACATGTCAGGTAGCATTGCTGTAAATTCTTTATATATATAAATCCTCACAACAATCCTATTCACTCATTCATTCATTTAATAAACAGTTATTGCATGCCTACTATGTGTTAGGCACCGTTTAGGCACTTGGGATATAACAGTGAACAGAACAGTTAACCTATAAGGTAAATACCGTTATTTACCTATCCTATCATTATAAATGGGGAATCAGAAAGACAGAAACTTAAATAACTTAATGTTTACCCTCAATCTTTTTTTAAAATAAATTTTATTGTGCATATTTGAGATTTTTCCTCAATCTAGAACGAAAGTTTAGCTAGACTTCGAATTTTCAGATGACAGTTACCTTCTTTCAACACTCTGAAAACATTACTCCATTGCTTATGAGTCTCTTACTTGATAAGAAGTCTACTGTCAATCTAATTGTTTTCCTCTGCAGGTAATATATCTTTTGTCTCTGATAGCTCTTGTCCCTTTATTTTTGATCTCCTGCAATTACATCACAATCTGTCTAAAAATGTATTTTCATTTATTTTGTTTAAAACCCCAAGTGCCCATTTTGATCTGAAGACTCATATCTCTCTTCATGAAAGATAATGATTCTTAACAATTCTCTCTTCAAATATTACTTTTCTACCATTCCTTCCATTTTTTTCTTCAGTAACTTCTATTCAATGAACACTGGAGTATAACACTGGAGTCTCCTAGTACCAGCGGTTAGAGTGGTTTGAAAAATATGTCCACGTGTTATTCTATATGCTTTCCTTCCAGAGGTAGAGCTTAATTCCTCTCCCTTTGAGAGAGTGGGCTTAACTTAGCGACTCACTTTTAACAAACAGTATATTGTAGAGGTGATATAGGTCACTTTCAATATTACATTTATGATGGTTAATTTTATGTATCAGCCTTACTAGGCCATGGGGTACCCAGATATTTAGTTAAACATAATTCTGGGTGTTTGTTTGTTTTTGAGATGGAGTCTCACTCTGTCCCCATGCTTGAGTGTAGTGGCACAATCTCAGCTCACTGCAACCTCTGACTCCCTGGTTTAAGCGATTCTCCTGCCTCAGCCTCCCAAGTGGCTGGGATTACAGGCATGTGCCACCACACCCAGCTAATTTTTATATTATGCAGAGGTGGGGTTTCACCATGTTGGCCAGGATGGTCTCGACCTCCTGACCTCATAATCCACCCACCTCGGCCTCCTAAAGTGCTGAAATTACAGGTGTGAGTCACTACGCCCTGCCAATTCTGGGTGTTTCTGTGAGGTTGTTTTTGGATGAGATTAACATTTAAATCAGTAGACTGAATAAAGCACATTGCCCTACCTAATGTGGGTGGGCCTCATCTGATCAGCTGAAGGCCTGAATAGAAAAAACAGGCTGACCCTCCCTCAAATAAGAGAGAATTCTTCCAAATTCAGGAAAAAAAACAATGTCTGATGGCCTTCAAACTGGGACGCTGGTTTCTTCCTGAATTTGGTTATAAACTGAAACATCAGCTCTTCCTGGGTCTTAAACCTGCTACCTGTCAGACTACAACTACACTATCAGCTCTCCTGGGTTTCCAGCTTGCCAATTCGTCCTGCAGATTTTGAGACTTGCCAGCCTCATATCATGTCAGCCAATTCCTTATAATAAATATCTTTATCTCCTATTGGTTCTGATTTGGAACCCTCCTAATACAGTTATAAAAAGGCTGTGGCTCCTGTCTTGGCTTCCTCCCTCCCAACTTGATCCCTTGTGGGGAAGCCAGCTGCCATGTCATGAGGACACTCAGGCAGCCTATGGAGAGGCCTGTGTGGAGGGAACAGGGGCCTCTGGTCACAAGCTGAAGGGGAACTGTAGCAACATCCCCCTGAGTTTGGAGGCTGAGCCACCAGCCATAGTCAAGCACCAGATAACAACCTGGCTGCAACCTCCTTAGAGACCCTGAGCCAAAACTACCCAGCTAAACCACTCCCAGGTTCCTGACCCACAGAAAACGTGTGAGATAATACATGTAGGTTGTTTTAAGCCACTAATTTTGAAGCAATTGATATATAGCAATAGATAAATAACAGAGTCACTAGTATATAGTAGGCACAATATATATTTATTAAATGAGTAGGACTGCCTTGCCTTAGGAGTAAATGAGAGAGAGAGAGAGAGAGATTTATTGATTGAGATTGTGTGGGTGTGTATAAAACTTACAGCAGTGTCTGACATACCTTTTAGAAATCTGAGTACATTCCTCAGACTTCTCTTCTAATTTAGTAATCCTGTGTCCAATTTAGAATTTATCACATCTATTCATTATTTCCTAATGACTATACTTTATTTGCTAGATTTCCAATCAGTTTTTTTCACAACTATGTGTTCTTGTTTTAGTCTATTTATGTTTCAAAATTTCTAGTTCTTTTTCACAAGGTACTTTCACTATTTCTTTGAACTGCCATCTCCTGACCCCATCTTTTTTTATTCCTCCTTGTCTAAGGGTCTTGCACATTGCTCCCTTCTAGAACCAGGACTTCTGCTGAAGGTATAGAGGTCCTGCTCTGCAGTGGCACTGCGGATACTGCAGGACCAGTAGAAGGCTTAGCTCAGTTCTGACCAGGAGGCATGGCCAATACCAGGTCACTATATACTTTTTGGTATATCTGCCCAAAACAAAATCTCTTCTTTCTCTAAGACTTCCATCCAAACTCCTGGGTGGGGTGGCTTGGAACACTGTCACCTAGCTGATTATCCCCAGACTGGGACAATAAGATTCTCATGATACAGTTTGAGATAAATTCCCTATACAATCAGTTCTTTGAATTAAAAGTAAGAGTAAGGCCAGGTGTGGTGGCTCACGCCTATAATTCTAACACTCTGGGAGGCCAAGGAGGGAGGACAGCTTGAGCCCAGGATTTCAAAACCAGCCTGGGCAACATGGTGTGAACTCATCTCTACAAAAAATGTAAATAAATAAAAATAAAAAAAATTAGCCAGGAATAGTGGCACATGCCTGTGGTCCCAGCTACTTGGGAGGCTGAGGTGGGAAGACTGCTTGAGACCAGGAGGTCAAGGCTGCAATAAGCTGTGACCATGCCACTGTACTCCAGCCTAAGCGAATGAGCAAGAACCTGTCTGCAAAAGAAACAAACAAAAAAAGTAAGATAATGGTAAGAAAAAATATTTATTGTCAAGAATACTATATTAACCTGTCTGGACTGTTCTTCAGAGAAATCACAACTTCTGCTTATTGTGTATCTTAAAGATTGTAACTTTAAGGCACAGACCTAACAGCATATCCTCCTAACTCACTTTTGAACTGAAGTCTAATTATATATGTCTAGAAAACATTTGTGAAATGGTAGATGCATTATTTTCTCTGGGAGAATTTCAAGTCATAGAAGAGGAATTCACAGCAAATATTTTACAGTAACTTAGTCTGTACATTAAACTGGGAATTAAAAAATCATTTAATATTAGAACTATCATTTTTAAAATCCTCAGCTTGAAAAGGAATTAACATAGAATAAAAGAGATTTATGTTGAATGATATAACTGATCTTTGCTGAATAAGAGACGTGAGATCAAATGCTGAGACCAAGATATTGCGAGATGGAAGTGATGGTAATGGAAAGAACAATGATGACCTTGGAAGAGATACTGTGAGGAATTAACAAGAGGTCAAATAGAAATAAATCAAAGGGCTGACAGGTAGCACTGAGGTGAGTAAGCACAAATTAACACAGTTTCATGGCTTTCTCCAGCAAAGCTCATCAGCAAAAGCCAGAGACTCTGGGAGTACCCAGGTTTAGAGAACATGCCTATGGAATCAGTTTACAATGTCTTTAAATCCAGTTAACCCGTTTCCTCCTAAAATATCTTTAAAATATTCTTTCTCCATGCTATTAGTATTCAGAATTAAAATGTTGTTACTGATGTCAAAGCAAAGAGAATAAACTACGGAGAAATTAACTCTTCATTTCCAGATACAGAAGGACCTGATTTTGTAGAGACCACCAACTCAATAGTTTGGAGCAGGAGTTGGCAAACTACTGTCCACAGGCCAAATCCAGCCTACTGCCTGTTTTTGTAAATAAAGTTTTACTGGAACACAGACATTCCCACTCATTAATGTATTGTCTGTGACTGTTTTCACACTACAACAGCAGGATTGAGTAGCTGTGATAGAGCCCATAGGGCCTGCAAGGCCTAAAGTATTTACTACCTAGCCCTTCACAGAAAAAGTTTGCCAATCTCTACTTAGGAGAACAAAACAATTCTACTATAATGAGTATATGCAGCACTGCTACATATCTAGAACACACAAATGGATGGATCAAAGCTATATTATTAGGTGTACTGTGAAAATGGCACAGTATTTATTCAGAAATGAAAAGTGAAAAATTCTATGAACCTCTTATTTAAGACATAAAGTATCTTTCAGGTCCCCAAGTCTACACATTCTGCTGGTTAGGTCTCAAAACTCATTCAATAGAAGTACAAGAGTAGTTCTATAAAACTAAAATATAATTAAAATAGCAGCTTTAATAGTGCAAGGCAGCAGATTCATTTTCAAATGAGTTTGTAATTTTCAAACAAAGGGCAACCTTACTTAAACAACTATGGCAAGGCATTCACTAAGGAGTGACTGGGTCCATGATAATTTCTTCTACAGAATTACCAAAACATACTCTAGGTGCATGCTGTCATCTAGCAGTAGAATACATGTTCATAAACAATGATTTATTTTACATTCCACCTAAAATCTACCTATTAACCCTGTTCAGCAGCTTCAAAACCCAATGAATAACTTCAAGTAATAAATTCAACAATTCGCCACACATAAGAAGCATACGCTTCTTAACCTGGGATCAAACTGGAAGAGTAAACACATAATTAAATATTCAAGTTGGTCACATGACACTCAGCCATTGTGAAATGCCAAAGGTAAAGAAGTAAACAGCAAAATATTATAACAAGTTATAACTGGAGAGAAAGGCAAGAGACAAGTTCAACGTGAACAGTTTTTATTAATGCAATTAGGCAAAAACAACTGTAAAGCATGCTTATAGCATCAGGGTTCCGGACCTTCCTATACAACTCAGGAAAGGACTGCAAAGGAATTAGTCCATAAACACCATACTCCAATGATTATAACAGGAGGAAGACTGTTTCCCCCTACTTTCACAACTGCCTTCTTGTTTGTTTAGCAAGTTTATTCCCCCTAGTGTCCTTTAGTGAAGCTTCCAAATACTCAGACTACTACAATGACTACAATGACTACTGCTAAGAAAATGATTTCACTGCACTTTGGGAGGCTGAGGTGGGCAGATCACTTGAGCTCAGGAGTTTGAGACCAGCCTGGGAACATGGCAAAACCCCATCTCTACAAAAAATACAAAAATTAGCTTGGCACGGTGGTGCATGCCTATAGTCCCAGATACTTTGGAGGCTGAGCTAGAAGGATCACTTGAACCTGGCAGGCAGAGGTTGCAGTGAGCTGAGATCACACCACTGCTCTAGCCTGGGTGACAGAGTGACACCCTGTCTCAAAAAAAAAAAAAAAAAAACAATGGTTTCAATTTCAAAAACAGTTTTAGTTAGTGAAATGATGGATAACAGATGTGGAAGTTTGGTGTATGCAGATATGAAGTGCCATTCAGTTATAAAGAATTATTATTAATGCCTTTACTTGTTAAGAAGAAATTTATTAATAGATAAAAGGCATTAATTCAAATTTTCATTGACAGCTTTTTAAGAAACGTTACCCATAAACTTTATAACTTCCCACCCTCCAGGCTTCTAAAGTGCTAAGCAAAACTACTTAATAAAAATAACCAATATTTATTATACTCAAATATAACTTTTAGATAGTCCAGATTTATAGCTTAGAATTATATTTATGCATACCTGTACATTTTATAATATACTGAGACCTTGTATAATCAATGTATGCAGTAATATGTTTGCTATTTTACATTAATGTAAGTTTTTAGCTGTTACAACTAGTTTATGACTTTTTTTGCTCAGTGTTAAGAATTGTTGGTTATCTTTAATAAAGAATGTAACCCTTAATTATAACACTCAATATAGGACAGTAGGATTCCAAATTAGTATTCTCCATTCTAAAACATGATTCCTAGAAAGCATATTAATAAGGGATAGGTAACAAGTGTACATATTACAGACAAAGACTAGCTAAAATATAGACTAGTTATATAACGTGATCAGAAACAAATGTACTTTCATTGATTATACTACATTTCAAACACATCAGAGCACTATCTCAGAGTAAGGTGGTGAAATTTTATAAAAGTATATTCACTAAATGAAAATTCATAAATTTGCATAACAAATGTCTCCAAAGAAATCCTAAGAACACAACCACTCAATTACTGGAGTGTAAAATACATGTATAAGTGTAAATCTTTCTCTAATTAAATTTTTTTTGGCTCCACTCTTCCAATTTCAATAAACTTGGTGAAGAAGAATATAGAATAAAAGTTGAAAGCCAGGTGCAGTAACTCATGCCTGTAATCCCAGCACTTTGGGAGGCTGAGGCCGGCAGATCACTTGAGGTCAGGAGTTCAAGACCAGCCTGGCAAATATGGTGAAACCCTATCCCTACTAAAAGTATAAAAATCAGCCGGGCATGGTGGCACACGCCTGTAGTCCCAGCTACTCGGGAGGCTGCAGCAGGAGAATTGCTTGGACTAGGGAGGCGGAGGTTGCAGGGAGCCAAGATCGCTCCACTGCACTACAGCCTGGGCATCACAGCGAGACTCCATTTCAAAAACAAAAAAAAACAACAAAAAAAAAGTTGAAGTATTTTAAGAACTATTTAAAGTACTTGAAACTAAACATATGTAGAAATAATCACCATTTTAGAATATTTAAATCCAATTACTTTGTCCAGATTTGCTATGAACCATCTATTAGAAGTTATTCTTTTATACAGTTCAAATACACAATATGGTATAGATTATATACTGATACATAATCACCTTGAAAATAATATTGTCTTTCACAACTTTAAGATCAACATTGTGGTGGAGAGTTAGAATTCTGACAGATCTCTAAAAAGAAAAGGCTAAATATCATAAATTGCAAAAATTAATAAAGTTCCTTACACTGCCTTTGAGGAAAAAGAAGTTCTCTAAACCTAACTGTAGATGTTTAATAGCTACCCTAGACCACAGACTCAGAATTTTAGCTCTAACATACAAGTTTCAGTTTAAGGTTCAGATAATTTGTCAAATTCTTAAAATCCTTGTGTGTGATGAAACAAAATCTAAGACTAAATGTTCACACACCTTTGCCTTGCCCTGCAGTCTCATTTTGAAGCCTATTTTTATCACTGTATTGGATCTTTCCTACAATAATATAGTCGAATACATCTTTCCTCACAGATACTCGACTGATCAATTTGCATAACAACCTACAATGGATGCAGAGATTTGCAGTCAAAAAGACATGGGGCTGGATGTGGTGGCTCATGCATATAATCCAAGCACTTGAAGGCTGAGGCAGGAGGATCACTTGAGCCCAGGAGGTTGAGACCAGCCTGAGAAACACAGTGAGACCCTATCTCTACCAAAAAAAAAAAAAAAAAAAATTTAAAGACATGGCAGTTTACATATTAACAGTCCTATAACTTTAATTTGGCTTTCCTCAGGACATGCCAACTGTGAGAGGATGGGTTAATCAGCCATCTCTAATGAATGGTGTCCTTTCCAGGTAGATTTCTTACACCTGGCTTATTGGTCACTGTCATGGTTGTGTTTGATAAGGAGTCTGCCCCCATTAAAAGATTATCTTCCCCACCTCTGCACTCACAAGTTAGGCTTCTTGACTGTAACTGGACTACAGTCCATTCATTCAGGGCACACATACTCACCCCACCAAGTCACCTATTCCCATTGAAAGTTCTACAAGGCCAATCAGGATACAGAAATATAGCCTAGAGACACATACCAAGGACTCTAAGAAAGTTTGTTAGTTTTATCTGTGATAATTAAACTTATTATCAGCTATTAAAACTATTGATTCTTGATTGTGTTTAAGAACAAAGTAATTACTAATATCTTTCTGTTTTACATATTATCTAGCTATATTAACATTTCTATTTTAAATAGACTGCATTTTAGATGACAACTAACAACATCCTGCATTAGTTAATTTAGGTGACCAAAGCCGGTTCTTTCTATTTTAATTTCTCACCCTCGTCTTAGTTACCAGCACTGGCTCTGTAAGTGAGAAGCCACCCTCTTCATTTGCCAATCAGTTTGGTCTTATAGTCTGACTTTGTTAGCTGCAATGGCTCTTTTAAAAGAAAGCTCATCCCTGCTCTACTTACCAAAATACAATAATGTATTGTTTAAATCAAATAAGAATGCAGTAAGGAGACCACCATATACGCATGTCAGAAAACAAATTCGTAGCACTAAATTAAATCACACTCTTTCAAAAGACAGTTAATACACCTTTTGTAGAAAGCCCAGCTGCTTTCATTAACAGTCAGGCTGGTGTGCAATTTTACTTATATATATGCTCTGCCAAATAAACTGGCACAGAAAGAAAAAAATAGGAGAGTGTTAATATCCTACAGAAGTAAAGATCAACTTCTTTTGTTGTCTTCTAGTTCATGAAGATAAAAGCAGAGGGGTCCTTGAAACTGTCGACACAGCTGAGTAGGCCAAGTAAACAGATGCTGAACCATACTTATGGATTACTGTCATATACTAGTCCCCCACAATACCTATAATCAGTTTTTTCACTTCTTCAGATTCTTTCAATTTATGCTCTATCATTCTTGAAGTGAGGCAATCAAAACTGGATGCAGGTGTTCCATTTATAACTCCAACTTTTAAAAAACACTCCTGGTTTTCCAGTCTGCTGCTAAGCAACAGAATAACATTCTTACTGAGCTACCTATCATGCCCCACTTTCACCCCTGACTCCAGATTTTTTTTTTCCCCAAACAGAGAAAAGGTAAACAGGTTCAAACTTCTAAAACTAGTCCAGATTGTTTTAGTACGTGTGGGACTTATCTTAAAGACACTCTCATGCACTATGTTAAAAAACTTTTCTTATGCTATCCTATACAAGGTGTATTAGTTTTCTAGGGCTGCTATAACAAAGTATCATAGACTAGGTAGTTTAACCATCAGAAATTTACTTGCTTACAATTCTGGAGGCTAGAAATCTGAGATCTAGGTGTCAACAGAGTTGGTTTCCTCTAAGACTTCTCTTACTGGCTTGTAGCGGGTCATCTTCTTCCATTGTCTTCACATGGTCTTCCTTGTGTGTGTGTCCCCTAATCTCCTCTTCCTTAAGGACACCAGTCATATTGGATTAGGCTCTACCCTAATGACCTCATTTAACCTTAATTACCTCTTTAAAAACCCTGTCTCAAATACAGTCACATTCTTAGGTACTGGGGGGTAGGACTTCAATGTACGAATTTCAGGGAGATACAATTCAGCCCATAACACAAGTATTTGAAAGTACATTACAGATATATGCCCTTTTAGGGGCAAATTATG
Source organism: Homo sapiens (assembly GCF_000001405.40). Taxonomy (NCBI): domain Eukaryota; kingdom Metazoa; phylum Chordata; class Mammalia; order Primates; family Hominidae; genus Homo; species Homo sapiens. Next base: position 98,893,673 of record NC_000006.12, read on the forward strand.
TCTTTCACTTATAATGCCCCAGGGGTAAAGGGTTATTATGTTTTCAACTTATATTCAAATGGTTCACTAAAACAATTATGCATATAGTAGGGGAACCTGGGTGAAAATACATAAGAAATCATTTTTTTTTTCAATTTCTCTGTAAGTCGGAAATTATTTCAAAATAAAAGTTTTTTTCAAGTATTTAAAAATCAATTTAATGAGTCAGATTTATTTTATTTTTGAGACAGGGTCTTGCTCTGTCACTCAGGCTGGAGTGCAGTGGCACAATCACAGCTCACTGTAGCCTCGACCTCCTGGGCTCAAGTGATCCTCCCACCTCAGTCTCCTGAGTGGGACTACAGGGGCATGTCCAGCTAATTTTTTAAATTTTCTGTAGAGATGGGGTCTTGCTATGTTGCTTAGGCTGGTCTTGAACTCCTGATCTCAAGTGATCCTTCTGCCTCAGCCTCCCAAAGTGCTGGGATTACAGGCATGAGCCCCTGAGCCCAGCTGAATGGGCTAGATTTTTACAGCTCTACTTTCACGAAAATACATCATCATGTATGGTTAAAGAAGTACTTGCAATCAATGCTTTATCGTACCTAATAAGAATCTTATGAAAAGAAAAGAACCAAAAAGACTGAACTTAAGTCCTTTAAATCATTATAATACCTAATTATTTCCATGCCACGGATGGTAGAAGAAACTAAGCACAACTAAAGTGTCCTCCCTGTCTAAATCCCCATCTGTTGCAGAAAGTGCTGTCTATTCAACTCTAAAAGATCCACCAAATTCAGGAGGAAAAAAAATTACCCTATTTACCAACCCATTTCACTAGTAATTCTGGGATTACACACTAAACAGGGCATAAATCTCAGCTCAAGAGTAATTTCTTCTAAAAAGGTTTCCCAACACAGATCACCCTCCAACTAAGGACAAGCCTGTGACAATGCGAGCATATATTTGGGCTTACTGTATACCCGTCCATTCTGTCTTTTATTGATGTAATAGTATGTTGTTCTTTACTAAGCATGTATTTAATGCTCTGAGTCTAATGAAATTCAACAAATATATGCCACTGACTCTGCACATAGCTTAGTTAGTGAATTTTCTTTGCTAAATTTATAAGACATTTGTTATTTCTCTGATGAAGTCATTTTTCATTGTAATCCTAAACACATCTAAAGAAAGAAAAAGATCTCATGAAATAAATTAAGAAACCAAGTTGAACTATATTTTACTATCTTATAAGGCTAAAAATTCTGAACAACCACTGATGCAGGGAGGGACCCACATCAGCATACAAGACAATTCTGACCCTGCCACAGTTCTATTCTCCTGAGGTCTCATTCTTACTGAGTCATCAGGCCTGCTGCATGCCTGGCTATGGCTAACGACTTAAGAATACATCACCTAGCTATCAACAACACATCATTTTACATGTCAAAATTATTTTGAGGATTATCTGTCTCAATGCTGCTCTCCATTACAGTATAAAATTGAGAGTAGGCCTATATAAACTACTTACTTAAAGCAGTTAATTATGTATTGATTCTACAAACTTTCACTTAAATGTTTCTAAATGTAATTTGAATAACAAATTGTGATTTATAAATTCAGAACAACTAAGACTTCAAACTAAGCTTGTTCATAGTAAAAAGACAAAAAATCCGTTTTCCTGCAGAAGATATTTATAAAACATAAACATAATAGTCTGTATTTTATCATGGATTATAATGTTGTATATGTTAGTTACTATGTTGTATCTCCTTACCAACTACAAATTAGAAATAGTAAGTAGTAAAGAAAATCCTTGTTTTAGGTAAATAGCCAAGCTATCAGAATAACTACTATTCTATGCTTTTATATATGTTATAATTTTAACTACAACACCAAGGCCACAAGACCTGAGTTCAAATCCTGACTCTATTGCTTGTGCCAGCAGGCAATTTATTAATCTTTTGAGACCATAATTTAATTATGTGTAAAGATGAGAATACCACCAACCCTATTCAGACTGGTGTAAAGAAATAATAATGCAAAATATCTAGGACAGCCAACAGAATATATTCAGTAGCTTTTTCCCAAACTTTGGGACTAAAAATCCAGGTCTTCAAAATCCTCAAAAGCTTTATGCATTATGCATACGGACTTGTCTAAGTCTTGTAAAATGGCATAAATATACTATATTTATTAATGCAAATTATGTAAAGGCACATAAAATGTAACAGTATTGTATCATAAACTGGTCTCTGTGAAGTTAATATGCTATAATACAATCCATATTTTTAATACTAATTTTTGCTTATTTTAGAATTTTGTAGGGTTCAGGAAAACAGGGTTAAAGTGGTACCAGATAATTTGTAGCCCTTTTAAAACAAAATAACCTCTCCAAGAAAACTAAAATTATTATCTTCTTTTTCTTTTCACGTATGTCCTTAGAGCAAGCAGAGGCATTTGAAATCAATTACTGCTCCTTCTTCAAAACAGAGTCTAGAATGAGAATATACTGCCAGTGATTTTGTGGAACATTTAAAGAGAGACCAGTCTCCTACACCTTGTCTTCTCATTCTCTGTTTGCTCTCATACACCATCATTAGGTGCAAGGTAAAAGGAGTGTGTGTATCAAAGGAAGAAGGAGGTGACATAACGCTTTGCTTAAGTGACAATGGAGGTGTTTACAGATTGCCATGAATACTAGTGCTGTAGCTTCTGTTTGTTTTTAAAGAAATCAGCTGATTATTTTGCCAACTCTCCTTTTTCTAATTTACTTAGTGCCCATGTGGGACTCTGATACAGATCCCAAGAATGAGGAGACAATAAGAGAGTGAAGTATAGGTAGAAAGCAATGAGTTCGGAGGCATTAAAAGTAAACACTGCCTGGGTAAGATTTTCTAAATTTCACATTTGCCATTTATATCACTAAAATAACAGCATCTTTAATTTTAAGTCAACCATAGATCACTGAAAACTCAGTTTTATAATTTTTTTCTACATATTCAATGTCAGAAAAATTACGTAGTGTTTATGATATTTTACCAGATGAGCCAATAAAAAAAATTTAATAGGAAGTAACAGAGGGTACAACCTAAATTTTATTTAATATATTCATACAATGATTTTACATCTGTATTTAAGTAACTGAGGGAAACCAGAGCTTATGCTATCTAGACCTAGGTACATATGTATAAATTTCCACTCTTCAGATATGAAATCTTCTTAATCCTCATAAATCACACTTAAAAAATTTGGTCATATCTATCAGTCTGAAACAAATTTAAGAAAACTGTAGACTAATAATTCTCTGACACTTAGATCACATTACTATACAACATTTCAAAAACATCTCATGGGATATATTTTCACAAGCCACAATAGATATAAGATGCCTAGCAAGTTAATATTTTTTTGGTTTTTACCCTATTTTTCTTCTCAAAGGCTCATTTAATAACTACATTTAATAATTATGCCTGCTATATTTCTTATTAAACAATCAGAAAATTTTAAATGAGGCATTTAAATCCTCCTTGCTCAGAGGATTTCGTTTATAGTACTTAGGCCCATAAAATAGTAAATGTGCCAGTAAAAAGCAGGTATGGCATAATTTCAGAATGAACAGTCCTACCCAAGAAAAGATAGCTAGCAATTTTATACCCACACAAATGGGGAGTCATTTCACCACAGACCAATGAAAACACAGGCTAATATCATCTGGCATTCAGGGACAATAATTATTTCATTTTACAAATAAAAAATCTGGAAATCTGAGACAATGTCTTCACCTAGATTACCAAGCTTATTGCTGGCAGGGCTAGAACTAGAATCAAAGTCTTCTTTCCACCCTGCCAGGTCACCTGTTGAAGCCTAGCTAAATATTTTGCCCAAAATTGAGAATAATGCCATCTTAATTCATTCGGTGTTGCTATAACAAAATACCTGAGGGTGGGTAGCTGATAAAGAAAAAGAGTTTATTTAGCTCACAGGTATGGAGGCTGGGAATTTCAAGGGGCATGGCACTGTCATCTGCTCGGCTTCTGGTAAGGGCTTTCCTGCTGTGTCTTAACATGGCAGAAGATCAAAGGGGAGGCAGACAGTACAAAGAGGCCAAACACAAAAGGCATCCTTGCTTTACAACCACCTGCTCTCTTGGGAACCAAACCATTCCCACCAGAACTAATCCAGTCTCCCAAGTCACTGGTATATCATTTTGGAAAAGTAATTTGGTTATCTTTATTCATTTACTTAACAAATATTTACTGAATGGCCAATCTTTACCAAGTACTATTCTAGATTCTGGAAATATGGCAATGAAAAAGACCAACAAGGCTTCTACCATTATATCCTAATGTGAGAAGACAGAAAATAAGCAAGAAAACAAGTATCATTTCAGAGAGTGACAAGGATGTTAAAAAGGAAATGAAACTTGATGATATGAAGGAAACAAACTAGAAGGGGTGCTACAGTATCCAGGAAGCCATCTCTAAAAAAATATGCAAGTTGAACACTGAGCTGAAAAAAGGGCAGCCATAATGAGCTAGACAAACATTCCAGACAGGCAAAAAAACAAAAGCCCTGAGCTGGGACCAGGTCAGAACATTCAAGGAATAGAAAGAAGGCCAATATGCATGCAGCAGAGGGAAAAAGTATATGACAAACAGTATGTACTACAGGGGCCCAGGTACATACTCTTTAACCTAGCAATACCACCTCTAGGACTCTATCCAACAGCAGTAATAGTAAGTATGTGTAAAACCATGCACAGGCTCATGGTGAAACCCCGTCTCTACTAAAAATACAAAAATTAGCTGGGCATGGTGGCACGTGCCTGTAATCCCAGATACTCAGGAGGCTGAGGCAGGAGAATCGCTTGAACTGGTCAGGCGGAGGTTTCAGTGAGCTGAGACCATGCCATTGCACTCCAGCCTGGGCAACAGAGTGAGACTCCGTCTCAAAAAAGAAAAAAAAAACTATGCACAGAAGAATGTTAGTGCTAGGTAGTTTGTAAAAGGAAAACAACTGGAAAAACTAAATGTTGATCATTTGGAGAATGTTAAATAGATTATGGTATAACATACACTATTACAGTAAAAGAGTTAGATAATATATGCACTGACCCTGGAAACATGTCCTAGAGATATTAGTGAAAAAGCAAGTAGACTAATATATATGACATGATTCCTTTTTAAATGAGACTCATTAACTATGGTATTACAAATTTTAACCCCCAAGTCTGGTCCAGGATAAATATCACTTTGCTTCCTCCCACTGCAAGCAAATGTCCTCTTACATATTATCCTCCTACCTTTCTCTAATTCATTCCCTGCCAGCATTTTGGCTTACCTCAACCAACGCTTATTTTTTTTCCTGGGGACATAAATAGCATCACAAAAATTTTAAGAGCATAGAGAAGAACATTTCCTTATAATTTAAAAGCATATTAGGTTTGAAATAACTTCACAATGACTGAATCAGCTCTATTGATTTCAGAGTAGTCAGAAGGCATCATAAACTTGATTTAAAAATAAAAAACACATTATTATGAGCAATTACAGAAAACCAAATCTTCAGTTGGCTACCATAATAGCAATGATGAAAATTATGAATTACTCTCACCTCTACTTTTGTTCGATAGAGAACAAGTCGTTTAAGGCTGCATAACTTGGCAATGTGGTTGAAAGCTTGAGGTGGTAGCTTATCACAGGAGGAGAGATTTAAGGCCTGTAGATTTGGACACATCTCAGAAATAACTTCTAAGCAAGTTTCATTAAGAAAGTGGCTGCAAGACAATTCAAGGCGTACTAATTCGGATCCACAAACCTTCAGAAACCTGCCAAAACAACATTCTATGTGAATTTTATAAAACTAAAAGATATTTTTGCAAGAACTTTGGAATTTTAGCAACTCTAAGTAGATACATTTGAAAGAATAGATTTCTATTAGGGAAAATGTAAAATTTGTTTTGCTTAAATTCTTATTCACTGCATACTGAAATATGAATGGTTAGGCTAAAAAAATCAACTTGAGAGAACAAAATGAATTCACATCATATAAAAAGTCAGCTAATGCTAAGTGGAAAATTAAGAAAGTAGAAGATATATTTTTCCCACTTACCTATAATTCACATCTGAGTTGGTAAAGCCAAAAAACAAAAACAAAAAAAAACAGCAAAACATAACAAAACTCTAAACTCTTGGGAGATATTTCCCCCTCAACAGTACCCATCAAGTACTGGATAATATATTTTGAACACTGCACACGAAAGTAACAACTTATTTAAATAACCTCAAAACAAATCAGACTAGGCTCCTCTCAGCTCAGAAAATGTCTATGTGGGTTTAACTACAGCACTGTTATGGTACTTGCAGCTGTTACTATTTAGCAGCTAGATTGCTTGATATTGAAAATATTCAATTGCAGCTTTACATAAAATATATAGAAATAAACCAAGATGAAGGTCACAAAATGCTTTATCAGAGTAGTTACCACAATATTTATGTCAGTTATGTTATAGTTGGGGGAAAAATAGTCCTGTCTATGATCATCCCCTGAAAACAATCTAAAAGTAAACATGAATCTAGGAGTATTTGAATCCATGAAACTTTATCAACTAAGCAAACTGAACCCTCTTAACAGTGTACCAATTATGCCTGTCCAGGTCTCTTGACATAAATCTTCCCACCAGTGTCACATCAGTAATATACTGTTAGTCAATTTATGCCACATCTTTATTCCTAAATGATTTAATGAGCTTACAAATACACATACAAAGTAAAATTGACTAAATCAGATTAGTTGTGTAAATAAAAGAAAGTAACACTGGTTAAAAGATGGAGTTTTTTGCATTGTTTGACTAGTTCCTAGCAGAGACCTTGGAAAAGGCATCTACTCAAGTCTTAGCATTTCCTCAGCTGTAAACGCAGACTTGAAGTATGTAACAACATTCACCACACTGCCTCGTGGGATTGAAGCTGAAATACTACGCAAATGCAGTTTTTAAAGGTCAAAGCACCCCATAAACATTAAGTATAAGTTAAATCTTGGCCAATTCACATTTAAACAATAAAAAAATTCAGTTGCTGCAAATTTAAATATTGTAAATAACCCAGTAGCCTGCACATCTTATTTACACGTGAACACCCGTTTATTCTAAATTCAAACTTGTATTATTTGATTTGTGACATTTCATACAACTGCACACTCCTTCCTTAAAACTCTGACACTCCTCACATAACTCCCTCTCTTGGATCTCCTCCAACCCCTCTCACTGCTGCTTCCTTTGCTAGCTGTATTAGCTAAACTGCAGTCTACATGAAGCACATTCATTCATTCATTCAACAAATATGCCCTGAGCTTCTACTATCATCCAGGCAATAGTCTAGGCACTGGGGAGATAGCAGTGGACAAAACAAAATCCCTGCTCTCATGAAGCTTACTAATGTTTTGAAGAGAGAAGGAGATGATAACCAAATGAGTAAAGTAAGTCGCAAATTTGTGAAAAGTGCCCAGGAGGAAATAAAAGCAGGGAAGGGCAATAGAAAGTGTCAAGGATGGACAGAGTAGTCAGAGAAGCTTCAGAGATGTGGTGAGTAAAACCCTGAAGGAAGCGAGAGGGTGAGCAAAGCAGGTATCTGGAGGAAGAGCATTCTAGGCAAAGGGAAGGGCAGTCCAGGGCAGGATAACAAGCAGAGTGAAGAACAGTGAGACGGGGGATGCAGGAGGCGCAAAATGATGGCGAGATGAGTAGATCAGAGATGAGGGACAGTTGACGTAGTGTGTGTCACTATAAAGACTCTGGCTTTATACCAGAAAGCAAACTGTTAGGAGACAATAGGAAACTTCCCAACTTGATTTAATGAATGATGGAATTTGAAAGCAAAATAAGATAAAGTCTATACCTATACTACCTTTCTGACTTTCTTTCTCTCTCTCAAGAATCCCATATTGCATATTTTTACTCTGAGCAGATTATTTAATATCCTCATATTATCTCTACTTAAATTTTCAAAATGTATACTACCTACCTTTTCATATCTACATCCCAAGAGGGCAGAGACAGTAGCAGACTCAATTAGCTGAACACAGCTCTTACTTCTTTCCTTAATGCTTCTCATGCAGGTTTTACTTTAATGCATAATTACATATATGTATTTTTTCATCTCAACTGTGCCACTGATCATTTGAAAGGAGAACTCAGCTTGTTTACTTCCTGCAGTCAATTCATTCTACATTGTGAATGCTCACAAAGTATTTTTTTATACTGAAGGTTTTATGAGAGGACCTAAGTCAGATAAACAATCCCAGACTAAGTCTCCTGCTATGAGAAAAGGAATCTCTGGAGAGAAAAGTAAATTGCTTATCATTATGAGGTGATTAATTTGTCCAAAATAATACAAGTACATAAGAAGCAATTTACTAAATGGTAACTTGCATCCTAAAATAATTAAGATCACGTGAATGACTTGAGTTTACTTATCACAAAATAAAAGGTAATAGTCCTCAGAAATTGCCTGAAGTATAAAAGAGAAGAATTAGATATAAATATCTATGACTTCTAAATTCCTAATCTCATGTTTTTTTAGCTGACCCTCACCGAGTTTTCTAAAACAATATATTCAAGATAATTTTAATCCCAAATAACTTGGAACATTATTTAATATAGCTGATCCAAAATAAAGCCATTAAAAACAAAACTTCCTGCTTAACTGTATATGGGTACTATCCAACAATGATAGAAAGAAGGGAAAAGAACACCTTAAAATGGTCTCTACTTTCTAGAGTTGACAATCTAAGACACAACTGTATAAAATATAGGCAGGCAACTGAATAAATATATTAGTGGGAAATAAGCTCTTTATACCATAAAACTTTAGCTCTATGTCAAAATACCTAATAAAGTTCTCGAATCTAGAACGCATCCAAGAATGTTTCCTAAAGGAATGAATATAAACTACCGAGAACAAGTAAGAGGAGTTTAGAGTAAAAACCTACACATAACTGAGGGGGAGATCAAGGCCATTCAGCAAATATTTGAAGAAAAATGGTAGGGAAAAAATGAACCTAAGGCTTTTTGAACAGAATGATACAATTAAGTTCCAAAGCACAAACAGGCAGGCAGGGAAAGGAACATCTAAGACTTTGGGGAACCATACTAGAAAAGTGGAATTATAATAGATGTGATTTTAATGAGTAATGATATGCATGAACAGTACTCAAAGTAATAAATCACAAATCTGTAGCTAGAATAGGATTTTAATAACTGATTAAAAGTTTTAAGTTCTCTTTATTCCAATGCAACCTATTTCTCCACTATTCTGAATAATAACAATTCTTAAAAAGTTATTTAAAATCTAGTTAAACAGTTCTAACTTGTGAGATAAGGCTTTTAAGCAACAAAAATAAACTGCATCCAACTTTTTCCCAAAGATTTGTTCAAAAAGCAGCTCATCAACATTGGTCTCTAGTTTTTAAATGTGCTTTTCTTCTTTAAAGTATTACAAATAAGTCTTCTTCATAGTACTGAGCATAAATAGACCATACTTATTCAAAGATTATTCATTAATAATCAAGCCATGCATATTTATTGTTTATTCTGGGAATGCTGCCTACAAGCCATAATAACTATCAATTCAGCAGTCAAGTCATGGGGGCCAACAGTAATCAGTAGGCAAAACTCCAATATGCCCCCCACAAGAAAAGGTTCTCTCTCCCTCTTACCTCAACTTTTTCTTTTCTTAATGGGAATAGTGACTACACTTAAAGGAATGCCATCAAGATTTATGATTTTACTGGCTGAAATACTACAGTAAAATATGAGAACTTAAATTTATATATGGCTTTTTCTGATTATTCAAACTGCTCTACAGCAACTACCCTGGGTGAATTGAAAATGGAAGATAAATTGTGGGTTAGAAAGTAGATAGAAACTCTAACTTTGCAAAAGATCTTTATCCATTACTAGTATAAAAATTTTTTAAATGGCATGGCTAAGTTTTCTTCTTATAAGTGATGTTTCTTCTCAAGCGCCAGAAGCTGCATAAAGTTTTTAAAATTGATTAATATTAGCTTTATATTTTACTCGTTATTATCACAGTCATATGCAGCACTTTGCCAGTACAGCTGGACTTCAGCCATTCACGACTAATATTTTCTTTAATGTCTACACATTAGTTACTACCCTGTTACTCTGTTTATAAAAATAAGGGATATGTTTATATGTTTATCTTAATATCTTTATCTTCTCTGTAGCCTGAAGGCAGGAACTATATTATATATCTCATGTCTCTGTATATGATCAACACCCACTACAATGCCTTGCACACAAAGGGTGAAAACAAACGTTTAATAAATTCTTAATAATGGAAAACATTGGGAAAGAGCTATGAGGGTAATTAAAATACCCTAATGGTCTACATAATGTAAAATAATGCTTACTGACACCACTTGTTCTGTTTTCATATTCAGTTAGTCTTGGTTTATGATAATGTATACTCTAAATATTCACAGACTTCATTAGCTTCAGTTCTTTCTTGGTCCTATTAGCAGAGAAAAGAATTTGAAATATGTGTGTTTGGGGCAAAGGGAAGTAGAAAGGACTAAACTGTGTTTCACTGGACAGCTGCCAAATATCTAGCAATGAACCCCTTCTCCTGGTTCAATTTCTGGCAGAAAAGAAACTCAGTGCATCCATGGTTTCAACATGTGCTACTAGCCATTACTACTTGGTTTATTTTTCACTTTGATGCATAAACTATCAAGCTCAGTATTTGGAACACATTGTTACTATTTCAAACATCATTACTTCATTTAAATCTAACAATATCAAATCTTTATTTCTGGAACTGCATCTTTATTTTTATAATCTAAGTTGAGGAAACAAGGCTCCACATACGAATTTCTAATTCATAAACCACTGTTGTAGAATGTACACTGGGGATATGTGTAGGGATTGCTACAGTTCACTTTTCATTTTTAAAAATAGAATACAAGAGTATTCATTAATTAAAAATAACAGAAAATTTCTCTAAAGTTTCTACTTCTTCATTATTTAACTTCATGAAAATGCTGGGATTATATGTAACATACAATGAGAAAAACCATGATCAAGGTTAGGAGAAAAACACCTGTTTGTATCCTAAGAAAAAATTACTATGGCATTACTAAATGAATATGCACTTGTGCAAGCTTTCAAATGCTTAACAGGTGACATTTAATAGTAAGGAAACTAAATGCTTAAATAGAAAGGAGCGGAAACACCTGGGCAGGTCTGCAAGTGTGGTCGTCTATTTAGCATGCAACTGCATTTTCAACATAATTAGTTTAAATGAGCTTCTAAATCTGGGTGATGTATTGCACATGTAATTAAGATTTAATTAAAAATGTTCTATAATAAATTGTTTTCCATTTCTGACAAATCACATTAGAGAGGTAGATTTTGATTTGGAAATAGTTTTTAAAATGTGTTAATCATCTGTGCTGCAAATATGAAAAAGAAGAAACAGGAGCTCTGCTGAAAGTTACTTGGGATTTAAGAAACATGAAGTAAAGGGTATAGTTTCCCTTCATATTCATATAAAATTTAGCTGAAGAGGATAGTAAAACACTTATTTTTTTATAAGCAGCAGCATTCTAAACATGACACTCAAAATATATTTCCTTTTTATTTTTGTAAGTACATGTTACATAATTTCAAACTTTTATTATGAAAACCACTACATAATAAGTATAACCTGCTGCTGGGGGGGAAAAAAACTTCATCAAGGCTTTGTACTAACCTGCTAAATCCTGCAACAGAGATGAAGCCTCTATTGCCAGTCCAAGATAAATTAAGCCACTGGACAAGAGTGCAGCGAGACTGTAGAAATTCCAGAGAAGTGTCATCTAGTTTTGCCCAGTATGGTTGCAGATTGAGGTGGATGTATTGCAGAGGATCACAGCAATGCTGGCTCAGTAGTTTGCAAGTCTGTGCTAATCTACACAGGTCTGGTAGTGTAAGATGATTCAGAATCAGCTGAATAAGCTAAATAAGACAGAGAAACCAAGATCATCAAGAGTGAAAAGCAGTATCATTCTATGAAACATATAACATAATCTAATAAGGAATAAAAGTGTCATACATTTTATAACAATATTTTCACATAGTAAATAAACATCCAACAGAATTATCCAAATAAAAGAAATCATACGTGCATTTGACTGTAGTGCATTTCAAGATTATTCAAAGTATACTCACCTCACATTGCCTACTCATTTTCTTAGGTGCAAAGATACACTTTGGTAATCTATTGACTAATACAATTTGTCATACTCAGCATTACTGAACAGCTACTACGTGCCAGACACTGGCGACAGAAAAGAAAGAGTGCCCATTCTCAGAGTGCTTACAGTCCAGTGGGGATTGGTAAGGACAATGATACGTTTTAATAGCTTTGACAAAAAGATACACAGAATGCTACTAAAGCCTAGCAGACCTAGCTCCAAAGTGAAAGTGTACAGTGTACCTGTGCCAGGAACACTCAGCTTTAAAAAAAAAAAAAAAAACACTTTTAAGTTCTGGGGTACATGTGCAGAACATGCAGGTGTGTTACATAGGTATACAAGTGCCATGGTGTTTTGCTGCACCCATCAACCCGTCACCTACATTAGGTATTTCTCCTAATGTTATCCCTCCCCTAGCCCCACCACCCCCCAACAGGCCCCAGTGTGTTCCCCTGCCTGTGTCCAGGTGTTCTCATTGTTCAGCTCCCACTTATGAGTGAGAACATGCGGTGCTTGGTTGTCTGTTCCTGTGTTAGTTTGCTGAGAATGATGGTTTCCAGCTTCATCCATGTCCCTGCAAAGGACATGAACTCATCCTTTTTTATGGCTGCATAGTATTCCATGGTACATATGTGCCACATTTTCTTTATCCAGTCTATCACTGATGGATATTTGGGTTGGTTCCAAGTCTTTGCTACTGTGAATAGTGCCACAATAAACATACATGTGCATATGTCCTTATAGTAGAATGATTTATAATCCTTGGGGTATATACCCAGTAATGGGATTGCTGGGTCAAATGGTATTTCTAGTTCTAGATCCCTGAGGAATCACCACACTGTCTTCCACAATGGTTGACTAATTTACACTCCCACCAACAGTGTAAAGACATTCCTATTTCTCCACATTCTCTCCAGCATCTGTTGTTTCCTGACTTTTTAATGATCACCATTCTAACTGGCATGAGATGGTATCTCATTGTGATTTTGATTTGCATTTCTCTAATGACCAGTGATGATGAACATTTTTTCTTATGTTTGTTGGCTGCATAAATGTCTTCTTTTGAGCAGTGTCTGTTCATATTCTTTGCCCACTTTTTGATGGGGTTGTTTCTTTCTTGTAAATTTGTTTAACTTCTTTGTAGATTCTGGATATTAGCCCTTTGTCAGATGGATAGATCGCAAAAATTTTCTCCCATTCTGTAGGTTGCCTGTTCACTCTGATGATAGTTTTTTGCTGGAACATTCAGCTTCAAAGAGTCAGGGGCAAACCAGGTGAAAAGAGAGTCTAGTGGCAAAGACTGTGTTATGAAAGCCTCACAGAGGAGCTTGGATTTATCCTGAAAGCAATGAGGAGTCCTGAAGGGTTTTAAACTAGGGGTTTTAAACTAGAGTGACATGTTCACATTTGTGTTTCAGAAAGATCATTGTGGGCGTGCTACTGGGAGCAAGGAGGCAGGAAGAGAAACCAGCCATGGGGCTAATACAGAATTCTAGGAAATAGGAAATAAGGGGTCTGCTTAAGGCAGCTGGCAGTGATGATGGAGTAGCAAACAGATACAAGAATTATTAAGAAGGCAGAATTCAAGAGATTGTTATCTCTAATTAAAATTATCTTCTTGAACTAGTCCAAGGTTTATTTTTTCTAAACAGTTGGGGGCTTCTAGTTTCAAAGAACTGCTTAAATAGCCTATTCTGAACTAACAAATATAAAGGAAAAGATATTAAATATTTGCTAAATGTTAAAAATCTTATTTAGATGAGAGAGGGTTTTTTTTAATTTAATGTATTTATCTAGCTAAACTTTTTGTTTTGCAATTAACCTAAATGCTCTTCTTCAATTTATTTTGTTATCTAGGCTCAGTATTAATTTCAGGTCAGATTTTCACTGTTTTAAGCCAAAATATCACAAAACGCAGAGTAACAACAACATGATCTTTAAAATAAGTTTAAAGAGGGTGTAGCCAGAATCTCCCTTACTCCTGATGTTTCTTAGTAATTTTCTTAGTAATTTACTGACTTTCTAATCTGCTCCTTGGCTATTAATTCCCACTTGCCCATGCTGTTGAACCCAATCTCTCTCAGACACTGCAAAATCCCATTGTAGTGGTCCCTATACCTAGAACGATTGAATAATTTTTCTTTAACAAATCTCATCATCCAGATACACCTGTTGATGTGTAAAATATTACACAAACAAAAATCAAAAATTTCAAGTAAAAAGTAAACCCAAACATTAAAGAAAGGTCTAAAATAAGAAGTTTCTTCCTCTCTACACTCAGTTCTAACCATCCCTCTCCCCAAAGATAATCATTGTTTTTCTGATCTCTTCCAAATAAATGTGTATGAAATTCTGTTCTTGAATTTGCACTAAAAGAATGATACTATATACACCATTCAGCAACTTGCTTTTCTCATTTAATGATATATCTTATAGATCTTTCTATATCTGCACATACAGACCCACCTCCTTCCGTTTCATAGAAGTGACATAATTCAACTAGTTCCTCATTGATGTATGTCCTGCTTTTTTTCCTATTGCAAATAATACTGCAATATCATTGTGTGTATGTATTATGCATGTATGTTCATCTTGGCAAACTTTGAAAATATATCCTTATAGTAAATTACATGCATTTAGAAGTTTTGATGCAAGTGGAGAATTGCCATTCACAATGTTCCCATCAATTTATATATCCATAAAAATTGTATGAAAGTACCCTTTTGCTTATATCCTAGACAACATTGGTATCAAAACGTTTTTATTCTGAAAGACAAAAAAGGAAGAAAAGATATAAAACTGTTTTTATTTGTGTTTCTTTTTTTTTTTAACAACAGAAACATAACACTTTCCCAGGGGAGTTGTCGATACATTTCCCACTATCCTCTTGACCTGTTCCTGGACTCTATTCTGTTCCATTTATCTATATGCTATTTCTCCCATATCAATAGTCCTCCAAGTAAAATAACTAAGTTTTTTAAAGCATATGTGTTGGAATGTCATGGATTGTTTGACTGCAAATGAGAATCAGGACTAATACTCCTCTATCACACTTCTTTTCCAGAATGTTCCTGAGTATTTTCATATTTTTAGGCAAACTTCAATTTTAAAAAATTCTGTTTGCATTTTAATTGGGACTTCATTGAATACACTGATTAAGGAAAACCGATATTTTTACTTTATTGTATTTTCCTACTCTAGGGCATGTTCTAATTTTTTAGCAAAAGTAAATTATCTGCAAAGTCTAAAGTATCTGTGACTCCCCTTGACTAATTTGGCTGTATACTGGACCACCCTGAAGATCACTGGCTGAAGGGATAAAATGCAAATCTCTTGGTGAAACCCAAACAGACCTCTATGACGCAGCAGAATAGACTCCACACTGCCAAAGACAGGGAGTCCCAATCACTGTCATCTATGTGCATGGAGCTGTGCACTGAGGCAGCCCTGAGCCTCCATCCAATTCCATCTCCTGCAGCCTCCCCTATCAAATCCTATGCTTTGGTCACACTGAAATACTGGAGTTTCCAAACAAGTCACACAGTTTCACTTCTCATCTTTGTACCTTCTCTTCCCTTTGCCTCAAGTGTCTTCTGGCCTTCATTCAAATTCTATGGGTCAAGCATTTTATCAGGTCTGGATAAAATTCAATAAACTGTTTAAAATGTATTTGCTGAAATTATATTTCTATTTTACAGTTTTTGCAAGTGGGTAAGAATCAAAGCAGCGATTCACTCTCCTCCAGATGAATTGCTCCCACTGCTGCAACAACAGACCCACCGCAGAGCCCTGAGGAGCAACACTGTCAGTATCTCATGCTCCTCTCTCTCCCCAAACCCAGCTTTTCCTTCATCTTTCCTCCCTCCTCCCAGTAAAGGCCAGTTTTGTCCAATCTGTGAAGCTCCCTTTCCATCACATGAGGTCTGGGTGGGATCCTGGTCCCATGGCTTAAAGACCAAATTAACTTGGACACTTAAATTCACCTTTATGTGGCAACTTTAGCTACTTCACAGGATGTGCCATGGCATTTTAACTGTAATATGTTGGAGAGGCATTATAGTTACTATTACTCTAAGACATTCAAAAGGCTATCTTACTGTTTCATGAAAGTTAAGCTATTTGTGTTATTTCCATGAAATCTGAAATACACATCAATTTGGAAAAGGGATATCTAAGTTGGTTAAAATTTGAGTCTATAAAGTTTCCTTAAAAAGAAAACTGATATACATTTTTAACCACACAGTAGTTTTCAGTGGGAGACAGAAATGCTTGGCCCTACTCTCACCCCTAGGAATATTTCGAAACTGGTGGGGAGAGGTTTTCATGTCACACAGCCCTAGAATGCTACTAGCATTTGATATCTGGGAGCCTGGGATGCTAAAATACCTCAGAAACACCCCAGTAGGGACACACTGAAAACAGGACTTCAGACTAGACAAACAAAAAAGTATTAATAATTCCAGGCCGGGCACGGTGGCTCACGCCCATAATCCCAGCACTCTGGGAGGCCAAGGTGAGTGGATCACGAGGTCAGGAGATCGAGACAATACTGGCTAACACAGTGAAACCCTGTCTCTACTAAAAATACAAAAAAAAAGTTAGCCAGGCATGGTGGCAGGCACCTGTAGTCCCAGCTACTCGGGAGGCTGAGGCAGGAGAATGGCATGAACCCAGGAGGCGGAGCTTGCAGTGAGCCGAGATGGCACCACTGCACTCCAGCCTGGGCAACAGAGCGAGACTCCATCTCGAAAAAAAAAAGAAAAAAAAAAAGTATTGTGGGGGGAGGAGCCAAGATGGCCGAATAGGAACAGCTCGAGTCTATAGGTCCCAGCGTGAGCAACGCATTAGACGGGTGATTTCTGCATTTCCATCTGAGGTACCGGGTTCATCTCACCAGGGAGTGCCAGATAGTGGGCGCAGGACAGTGGGTGCAGCGCACCGTGCGCCAGCCGAAGCAGGGCGAGGCATTGCCTCACTTGGGAAGCACAAGGGATCAGGGAGTTCCCTTTCCTGGTCAAGGAAAGGGGTGACAGATGGCACCTAGAAAATCGGGCCACTCCCACCCAAATACTGCGCTTTTCCGAAGGCCTTAGGAAACGGCGCACCAGGAGATTATATCCCGCACCTGGCTCGGAGGGTCCTACGCCCACGGAGTCTCGCTGATTGCTAGGACAGCAGTCTGAGATCAAACTGCAAGGTGGCAGCCTGGATGGGGGAGGGGCGCCTGCCATTGCCCAGGCTCACTTAGGTAAACAAAGCAGCCGGGAAGCTCAAACTGGGTGGAGCCCACCACAACTCAAGGAGGCCTACCTGCCTCTGTAGGCTCCACCTCTGGGGGCAGGGCACAGACAAACAAAAAGACAGCAGTAACCTCTGCAGACTTAAATGTCCCTGTCTGACACCTTTGAGGAGAGCAGTGGTTCTCCCAGCACGCAGCTGGAGATCTGAGAACGGGCAGACTGCCTCCTCAAGTGGGTCCCTGACCCCTGACCCCCAAGCAGCCTAACTGGGAGGCACCCTCCAGTAGGGGCAGACTGACACCTCACACGGCCGGGTACTCCTCTGAGACAAAACTTCCAGAGAAATGATCAGACAGCAGCATTCGCGGATCACGAAAATCTGCGGTTCTGCAGACACTGCTGCTGACACCCAGGCAAACAGGGTCCGGAGTGGACCTCTAGCAAACTCCAACAGACCTGCAGCTGAGGGTCCTGTCTGTTAGAAGGAAAACTAACAAACAGAAAGGCCATCCACCAAAAACCCATCTGTACATCACCATCATCAAAGACCAAAAGTAGATAAAACCACAAAGATGGGGGAAAAACAGAGCAGAAAAACTGGAAACTCTAAAAAGCAGAGCGCCTCTCCTCCAAAGGAACGCAGTTCCTCACCGGCAATGGAACAAAGCTGGACGGAGAATGACTTTGACGACTTGAGAGAAGAAGGTTTCAGACGATCAAACTACTCCGAGCTACAGGAGGAAATTCAAACCAAAGGCAAAGAAGTTAAAAACTTTGAAAAAAATTTAGACAAATGTATAACTAGAATAACCAATACAGAGAAGTACTTAAAGGAGCTGATGGAGCTGAAAGCCAAGGCTCAAGAACTACGTGAAGAATGCACAAGCCTCAGGAGCCCATGCAATCAACTGGAAGAAAGGTTATCAGTGATGGAAGATGAAATGAATGAAATGAAGCGAGAAGGGATGTTTAGAGAAAAAAGAATAAAAAGAAACGGACAAAGCCTCCAAGAAATATGGGACTATGTGAAAAGACCAAATCTATGTCTGATTGGCGTACCTGAAAGTGACAGGGAGAATGGAACCAAGTTGGAAAACACTCTGCAGGATATTATCCAGGAGAACTTCCCCAATCTAGCAAGGCAGGCCAACATTCAGATTCAGGAGATACAGAGAACGCCACAAATATATTCCTCAAGAAGAGCAACTCCAAGACACATAATTGTCAGATTCACCAAAGTTGAAATGAAGGAAAAAATGTTAAGGGCAGCCAGAGAGAAAGGTCGGGTTACCCACCAAGGGAAGCCCATCAGACTAACTGCTGACCTCTCGGCAGAAACTCTACAAGCCAGAAGAGAGTGGGGGCCAATATTCAACATTCTTAAAGAAAATAATTTTCAACCCAAAATTTTATATCCAGCCAAACTAAGCTTCATAAGTGAAGGAGAAATAAAATACTTCACGGACAAGCAAATGCTGAGAGATTTTGTCACCACCAGGCCTGCCCTAAAAGAGCTCCTGAAGGAAGCACTAAACATGGAAAGGCACAACCGGTACCAGCTGCTGCAAAATCACGCCAAAATGTAAAGACCATCGAGAATAGGAAGAAACTGCATCAACTAACGAGCAACATAACCAGCTAACATCATAATGACAGGATCAAATTCACACCTAACAATATTAACTTTAAATATAAATGGACTAAATGCTCCAATTAAAAGACACAGACTGGCAAATTGGATAAAGAGTCAAGACCCATCAGTGTGCTGTATTCAGGAAACCCATCTCACGTGCAGAGACACACATAGGCTCAAAATAAAAGGATGGAGGAAGATCTACCAAGCAAATGGAAAACAAAAAAAGGCAGGGGTTGCAATCCTAGTCTCTGATAAAACAGACTTTAAACCAACAAAGATCAAAAGAGACAAAGAAGGCCATTACACAATGGTAAAGGGATCAATTCAACAAGAAGAGCTAACTGTCCTAAATATATATGCATCCAATACAGGAGCACCCAGATTCATAAAGCAAGTCCTCAGTGACCTAAAAGAGACTTAGACTCCCACACAATAATAATGGGAGACTTTAACACCCCACTGTCAACATTAGACAGATCAACGAGACAGAAAGTTAACAAGGATACCCAGAAATTGAACTCAGCTCGGCATCAAGCGGACCTAATAGACATCTACAGAACTCTCCACCCCAAATCAAAAGAATATACATTTTTTTCAGCACCACACCACACCTATTCCAAAATTGACCACATAGTTGGAAGTAAACCACTCCACAGCAAATGTAAAAGAACAGAACTGTCTCTCAGACCACAGTGCAATCAAACTAGAACTCAGGATTAAGAAACTCACTCAAAACCGCTCAACTACATGGAAACTGAACAACCTGCTCCTGAATGACTACTGGGTACATAACGAAATGAAGGCAGAAATAAAGATGTTCTTTGAAACCAATAAGAACAAAGACACAACATACCAGAATCTCTGGGATGCATTCAAAGCAGTGTGTAGAGGGAAATTTATAGCACTACATGCCCACAAGAGAAAGCAGGAAAGATCTAAAATTGACACCCTAACATCACAATTAAAAGAACTAGAAAAGCAAGAGCAAACACATTCAAAAGATAGCAGAAGGCAAGACATAACTAAAATCAGAGCAGAACTGAAGGAAATAGAGACATAAAAAAACCCTTCAAAAAATTAATGAATCCAGAAGCTGGTTTTTTGAAAGGATCAACAAAATTGATAAACCGCTACAAGACTAATAAAGAAAAAAAGAGAGAAGAATCAAACGGACTCAATAAAAAATGATAAAGGGGATATCACCACCGATCCCACAGAAATACAAACTACCATCAGAGAATACTACACACATCTCTATGCAAATAAACTAGAAAATATAGAAGAAATGGATAAATTCCTCGACTCATACACTCTCCCAAGGCTAAACCAGGAAGAAGTTGAATCTCTGAATAGACCAATAACAGGATCTGAAATTGTGGCAATAATCAACAGCTTACCAACCAAAAAGAGTCCAGGACCACATGGATTCACAGCCGAATTTTATCAGAGGTACAAGGAGGAACTGGTACCATTCCTTCTGAAACTACTCCAATCAATAGAAAAAGAGGGAATCCTCCCTAACTCATTTTATGAGGCCAGCATCATCCTGATACCAAAGCTGGGCAGAGACACAACCAAAAAAGAGAGTTTTAGACCAATATCCTTGATGAACATTGATGCAAAAAAATCCTCAATAAAATACTGGCAAACCGAATCCAGCAGCACATCAAAAAGCTTATCCACCATGATCAAGTGGGCTTCACCTCTGGGATGCAAGGCTGGTTCAATATACGCAAATCAATAAATGTAATCCAGCATATAAACAGAACCAAAGACAAAAACCACATGATTATCTCAATAGATGCAGAAAAGGCCTTTGACAAAATTCAACAACGCTTCATGCTAAAAACTCTCAATAAATTAGGTATTGATGGGACATATCTCAAAATCATAAGAGCTATCTATGACAAACCCACAGCCTATATCATACTGAATGCGCAAAAACTGGAAGCATTCCCTTTGAAAACTGGCACAAGACAGGAATGCCCTCTCTCACCACTCCTATTCAACATAGTGTTGGAAGTTCTGGCCAGGGCAATTAGGCAGGAGAAGGAAATAAAGGGTATTCAATTAGGAAAAGAGGAAGTCAAATTGTCCCTGTTTGCACACAACATGATTGTATATCTAGAAAACCCCATTGTCTCAGCCCAAAATCTCCTTAAGCTGATAAGCAACTTCAGCAAAGTCTCAGGATACAAAATCAGTGTACAAAAATCACAAGCATTCTTATACACCAATAACAGACAAACAGAGAGCCAAATCATGATTGAACTCCCATTCACAATTGCTTCAAAGAGAATAAAATACCTAGGAATCCAACTTACAAGGGACGTGAAGGACCTATTCAAGGAGAACTACAAACCACTGCTCAAGGAAATAAAAGAGGATACAAACAAATGGAAGAACATTCCATGCTCATGGGTAGGAAGAATCAATATCGTGAAAATGGCCATACTGCCCAAGGTAATTTATAGATTCAATGCCATCCCCATCAAGCTACCAATGAATTTCTTCACAGAATTGGAAAAAACTACTTTAAAGTTCATATGGAAACAAAAAAGAGCCCACATCACCAAGTCAATCCTAAGCCAAAAGAACAAAGCTGGAGGCATCATGCTACCTGACTTCAAACTATACTACAAGGCTACAGTAACCAAAACAGCATGGTACTGGTACCAAAACAGAGATATAGATCAATGGAACAGAACAGAGCCCTCAGAAATAACGCCACATATCTACAACTATCTGATCTTTGACAAACCTGAGAAAAACAAGCAATGGGGAAAGGATTCCCTATTTAATAAATGGTGCTGGGAAAACTGG
Organism: Homo sapiens; assembly: GCF_000001405.40. Taxonomy (NCBI): domain Eukaryota; kingdom Metazoa; phylum Chordata; class Mammalia; order Primates; family Hominidae; genus Homo; species Homo sapiens. The sequence continues at coordinate 98,915,609 of NC_000006.12, forward strand.
CTAGCCATATGTAGAAAGCTGAAACTGGATCCCTTCCTTACACCTTATTCAAAAATTAATTCAAGATGGATTAAAGACATAAACGTTAGACCTAAAACCATAAAAACCTTAGAAGGAAACCTAGGCATTACCATTCAGGACATAGACATGGGAAAGGACTTCATGTCTAAAACACCAAAAGCAATGGCAACAAAAGCCAAAATTGACAAATGGGATCTAATTAAACTAAAGAGCTTCTGCACAGCAAAAGAAACTACCATCAGAGTGAACAGGCAACCTACAAAATGGGAGAAAATTTTCGCAACCTACTCATCTGACTAAGGGCTAATATCCAGAATCTACAATGAACTCAAACAAATTGACAAGAAAAAAACAACCCCATCAAAAAGTGGGTGAAGGATATGAACAGACACTTCTCAAAAGAAGACATTTATGCAGCCAAAAGACACATGAAAAAATGCTCATCATCACTGGCCATCAGAGAAACGCAAATCAAAACCACAATGAGATACCATCTCACACCAGTTAGAATGGCAATCATTAAAAAGTCAGGAAACAACAGGTGCTGGAGAGGATGTGGAGAAATAGGAACACTTTTACACTGTTGGTGGGACTGTAAACTAGTTCAACCATTGTGGAAGTCAGTGTGGCGATTCCTCAGGGATCTACAAGTAGAAATACCATTTGACCCAGCCATCCCATTACTGGGTATATACCCAAAGGACAATAAATCATGCTGCTAGAAAGACACATGCACACGTATGTTTATTGAGGCACTATTCACAATAGCAAAGACTTGGAACCAACCCAAATGTCCAACAATGATAGACTGGATTAAGAAAATGTGGCACATATACACCATGGAATACTATGCAGCCATAAAAAATGATGAGTTCATGTCCTTTGTAGGGACATGGATGAAATTGGAAATCATCATTCTCAGTAAACTATCACAAGGACAAAAAAACCAAACACCGCATGTTCTCACTCATAGGTGGGAATTGAACAATGAGAACACATGGACACAGGAAGGGGAACATCACGCTCTGGGGACTGTTGTGGGGTGGGGCGAGTGGGGAGGGATAGCATTAGGAGATATACCTAATGCTAAATGACGAGTTGATGGGTGCAGCACACCAGCATGGCACATGTATACATATGTAACTAACCTGCACATTGTGCACATGTACCCTAAAACTTAAAGTATAATTAAAAAAAAACTAAAAAAAAAAAAAAGTATTAATAATTCCAAGGTAATAGCACTACCTGCCTAGACCAAAAATTACAGTTAGGAGAATATAGAATAGAGTTAGTATAGAAAAAAAATGACACTTAGAGAAACTACAGATTAAACAGAATAAGCATTCATCTCACAATCTTATTAATATTCTTATTTTTAATAGCAAATCATCTTTAACATAACTAATAAAAAGTTAAGCATGTATTGCCCACAGTTAAAGTGTAATATGAATTAAAGTGGATTGTTACTTATTACTGGTTTTTGTATTTGGTTATTATTAATTAGCAATATGAAAATATATACTTAATAGTTTACCCAGAAACACTAATGCCAAACCAAAACAAAAGCAGTGAAATTAGTTAAAACATGATTTTGTCTAGTTTTTCCAAAATCAAAATATACAACACATCAAATTATATATAACTTACCAATGCTCAATTACCGATGCTCAGTAAACATTAATATCTAAAGATTAAAAATCTATAGTGTTATATCCAATACTGCTGCTAAATATTTTTGGCTTACCTCATAAGGTAGTTTATCAAAATACCCATTATTTGGCCCTTCCCCGAGGACAGCACTGCTAAACTTTTTGTTAAGACTGTCCATTCCACAACCATCCTTTTCTGCATAGGCATCATCTTCTATATCATTCATGTCAATAAGTGAAGTCTTGAGAGAAAGCACTGGCTTGTCCTTCACACCATGTAGCACAACTGCATCTAATTCAGTGTAATATTCCAGAAGAGAACTATTTACTTCCAGTCGTATAAGATTTGTGGGGAAATTTATCTGCTTAATACAAGGTTTAAACTGGCGAGCTTGGGAAGCATTCACCTTCGTAGGTCTCTCTGACCAAAGAATCTCCCATCTGCCAAAAAAAGAAACTTCCCTATAATACAGTTTAGAATGAGATCTACTGGTCCCTTAAGGTTATAGACCCATGCCCAATATGTCACAGTGTGAAACAAAGTCATCAAAATAAATAGAATCCAATATAAGTATTGTTCCCAAGATATAAAAAACTTTAAAAAACCAAATGCCACAGACCTTATTAATTTATTTTTATAAGTCCCCAAACAGTCCTTTTTTACAGATTTCACATTGATCAGTTTAAAAACTGGAACATGTAGTTAGAGGTATCTGAACAACATTACAGTTTACAAGATAAGTAAACCCAAAGAATAAAACACACAAAGATGAAGCTCCCTGTGTGCATGGCTTAAACCAACTGCGGAAACTAAACTGATCATTTTGCTTCACAAAGGTCTCCTGCTTCAGCTTTTCCATTTCTGTCACTAGCCTCATATAAATGCAAAACTTTCATATTATCTTTTTCTCTTTATTTTATCAAATCATTGTTTCATCAAATTTTTCAAGAAACTGTTTCTTGTATATGCCCTTCTCCTGAATTTCCATTTTTGCTATATTTAAGTTATCCTTATATCCTTAGTATCTAGCAAATATCTAAAGACATAAAAGGGGAATAACATTCTCCTATTCCTCCAAATGAACTCCTGCTTCCCAGCCAGATTAATCATTATTTTCCATGCAATAAACTTATTTCCACCTTTATGTCTTTGCTCGTGTTATCTTCCTCCCCATGAAATGCCCAACCTACTATTATCTGCATATCTATTCTTCAAGGCCTAACTTATATTCCATCTCCAGATAAGTCTTCTTATAAAACTATTTTCCAAAATTATTTAAAGATTCTTCATAATAATAGCATCATCAGGTACTTAATATACTCATATGTCAGTTAACTATTTCTCTAATATTATTTCTAATAAAGAGAAAATTAGAAACATTTAAAAATACTTCAATTATCACCTTTTCTCTATTCCTAATTATTTACTTTTGCTAGTAAAATTTTTTAATAAAGATTTTACATCAAAGAATAAGAATATTTTTAAGTCTCTCAATACACACTACAAATTGCTTTCAAAAAAGCTTATGCCAATAGTACATAAGAATGATCACTGAAAGCATTAAAAATAATCTCTAGTTTCATAGTGAGCCATATCTCCTTATGATGTAATTTGTAATTCACTGATTACTAATGGCACTTAATTTTTTTATATATTCATTAATCATATGAGATTTTTTTCCACCAATAAATTGTTCGTTTATTTCCCTGGCCCAATGACCTACTGAGATCTAAGTAAAAACTGATAATGGCAACGCATAGAAGAAACTGAAAGAAAAAAAAAATGTGAAACTCAAGGGAGAAATCAGAGCCAAAATTATAGAAGCCATCAACATATAGGTACTCCTACTGTTTTTAGGCCCAGAAGGGACCAAGAAAAGCATACAGCCACAATCTTGGAAGAATGGAGAGGGAAGTATGGCAATTTCTACCTTCAGGAATAAAAGCAAACTCCAAAGGAATTCTAATAAACATATCACGAAGGGAATCAGGAACCACAGAATAGGGAACTTTAGCAGTAGGGACTTTTATTACAGTTTCTAGAACCTTTAAAATCCCATACTTGTTATTTTTGCTGATTCTCTCCTGAAATGTAGGAATAAAATCCATCAAACATAAACAGCCTGTGAGTATTTGTATTCAGAGGCAACATTAAAGTAGCAATGGATAAATTAGTTACACCCTATAACCAATCTTGCAAGGCAGGGAAAGAGTTCCAAAGAATAGAGCAGGCTGTGGCAGGTTTAATGAGGAAAGAGAAGCAGGCTGGGTATCTTCTTCTGGTGACAAGACAGAAAAGCAAACCTGGAATGCCATCCTGAACCTAAGAATGTCCCTAGAGATTAACTGCTAAAATCAAGGGTTCCTAACGAAGGAATTGATTTGAATACTCTAATGTAAATACATGCAGCAAAACAGAGCTAGCCATATAGGTGCTAGGGAACAGAAGCATGAAACATCTAAAACAATGCTGGTGAGAAAATGTATGCCTAATTTTGGATACCTTATTTCCAAGAATCACAGAGTAAATTATAGAATACATGAAGAAATTCAAATTTTAGTCTTACTTTTTTGTCGCCACTGCAAATTGACACCAGACGATGCTGGAGGAACATCTCCAAGAAACAAGGACCCCTCAAGACCCTGTGAAATAACCACCTATACTGGTTTACAGCACATGTGAACTAAACCAGCCTACTTTGTTGTTTAGTTTCAATGGGGAGTTTTGGGAGGCTTAAGAAGAACACTGAAAATATAATAAAGAAATAACCTCTGCCAAGTTCTTAGCAATAAATAAATATGCACACAATACAGGTCTTCATGTATAATTTGAAATGCATTATAATGTAAATCAAATTAAAAATTATAAATATAAACATAAAGACATTGATTAGAACATAAATATTCAATTTTAATAATGCATTAATCTACAAAAAGTCCTCTCTAGCTACCTTGCAGAACATGCAAAACAGACAGGGTTAAGATGATGCTTTACACTGACTTCCTTAACATTTCTAGCATGTTTAAACATATTAGGATTAATGTTATTTTAGCATCATTCTTGCTTCTGACTTCTATATCGCATAAAGATTATTTAGTTACATATATATCAGAATCTGCAAAAATTATACTTAAAGTGGAATATCAGGATTGTATCTGTTTTTAGAAAGATTTAAAAATATGTCTAAATATTAAAAATTTCCAAGTAAATCATTAGTTTCTATATTTTACTTTTATTTTTCTTGATAACCTAAAAAGTAACAAGAAAAAAAAAGACAGAAAAATTATTTGAATTAACTATGAGACCAATACAAATAGATTTTCTGCTACCTGCATTAAGGTTTTTGTTTAAAATTCCCCAATAGAGCTAAAATGTATCATTTCTAAGTTAAAATGAGAAAGGTATCTATCTTACCCAACAAGAGAATATGAGAATTTCTTTTTATTCTGGAAAACTAAAGCCAGAATAATAAAAACTAGTCAGTGAAAACAAGAAAACAAACATAAACATACGCACATGTACATATGGGTACACACACATACACACACACACACACACACACACACACACACACACATTCTGGAGAAAGCTCAACTCTTTTAATTCTCTAGCCCCAGGGCAGTGTTGATATGATTAAACTCCTTTAAGTCATGGCTTTTGTAATAGTACATTTACATGTTTAATATTATTCTCATACACTGTATTTATTTACTGGACAAATCTGACAAACTCTAATGTACTCTTTAAGTATTTTAAATCTCAAGTATCACATGTGCAAAATTCAGCCTGGAATGTCTTTGAGACTGGGCTTACAGTCTGCATCTGGAGCATTCAATTCTGGGATAGTAACTAACACAGCCCATTTAATGTTCTTTCTGTTGATTGTACTGGATGACTACTATGTGTCCAGTGCTCAGAAACAAACCACTCTATGACTGCTGACCTGTTATACCACTAAGAAACTTTCTCCAGGGCAACCAGGAAGCAGTGGGTAGATGAGAGGAAGAGAGATGTTTCATTAATGGAAACCAAAGAAAGCAAGTTTTCTAACCTGTATTCAGGCTTGAAGCCAGGCAGATGAGTACAAAAAGCTTCCTTGCAACCAAAATTTATCCTAGCCAGTAAGTATATCTAGTAGCCAGCAAAGAAAGTTATCTTGCCAACCCTGTTCCATTTCACTAGCTGAAAGTGAAGGAATAATAGGAAAACAGAAATAAAAGTAACAAGTATTCTGACAGGTCTATCTATTCACTCCCTGCCTCCCAGCCCATCTCTAATTGGAAACTAATAAACTAGCATGTGCTTAAAAAAAGAATTAACCAGTGAAGAGCTTGGTCAATTCTGAGTTAAATGACAAACTCATGTTTCTTGGCCCACATGACCAAGGTCCAGGTCATGACAAATTTGTGAAATCGTTACTTAAGCAACTGGATTTGGTAGCAAATTCTATGAAAGCCTCTTTTTTTCTCCCTGCTTTCTTAATTTCAATATTATATAGTTGGAGTGCTTTGAACACTGAAAAAAAATTCCACATCATTAAATTTCATTCCCAAATAACTTTATTCCAATTGGTTTCTTTAATCTGACCTCTATTTGTCATCTTCTTCTTCCCCGTTTCCTTGTCTCTCTCTTCCAAATGGTAACCCTGAGCTAGCCTATTTTCTGAGTCTTACATAAGCATCCATTAAGATATTATTCACAGGACTAGGGCACTCTATAAAACCTGCAACCTCCGCCTTCTGGTTTCAAGTGATTCTCCCGCCTCAGCCTCCCGAATAGCTGGAATTACAGGTGCCCGCCACCACGCCTGGCTAATTTTTGTGTTTTTAGTAGAGACGGGGTTTCACCATGTTGGCCAGGCTGGTCTCAAACGCTTGACCTTGTTATCCGCCCCCCTCGGCCTCCCAAAGTGCTGGGATTACAGGCGTGAGCCACCATGCCAGGCCTTTTTCTTTTGCTCTTAATAAGGTACTAGGCAAGAAATGAGGAGACTTTAAGATCTGGTAGAACTACCTGTAACTTCTCCACTTCATTTACTGAACAAAGAAATGCAATCACATGAAATAGGAAAAGACTGGTTTTAAATTTTAAATGTTCTGGGACTAAAAGAAGTCAATTTCCTGCAAATTCCTGAGCTACTCCAACACATTCTTGTTTGTTAACTCCTAAGGGAGGGATATAAAATTAAAATAATAGACACTGTAGCCCACTGGGTTCCCAAACAGTAGTACATGACGGAGTTTTCCATCACTAAATGTGAGAATGCACATTTAGTATGCACCTATCACACATATATGTTCTTATAACATTGAAAGAAATCTTTATTCAAGATTCTGATCATGCTGATTTCTTGGTATAAACTGAGTTGCTTGAGTAATCATTTCACAAATTTGTCATGATCTTGTCCTTTCGACTTTGTGGGCCAAAAAACATGATTTTGTCATTTAACTCAGAATTGACCAAGCTCTTCACTGGTTAATTTTTTTTGAACAGATGCATAAACTTTTATGAAATAATGGTGATGACAGGTAACATTGGCATTTTGTTTGTCTTTTTACTGTATGTTAATTTAGCAAAGTAAATAATCTGACAAGTCTATGAGTTCCCTAATTTTTATGATGATTATTATGTTACTAGTTTATTGTGACTGACTCCTCCCACCTGAACTCCATTCACATGCACATCCCCCATCTCATCAGTTCTATGTGCCACCCTGCAGATGGGCTTGCTTTGCTCCTAAGGGTTTACACTTACAACCTTCTTCACAGAACTACCTTGGGCTTCATCTAGGGAGTGACATGTGCCTAGAAGATTGACAGTCCCCCTTTCCCACCCTTCCAGCCCATGGTAAAAGTCTGGCTGGTGCAGGAGTATAAGGGCCCAGCTCTCTAGCAACTTTGCCTCCCAGCAGACTGGGACTTCACATGATATTGCATCCTTGCTTGATTTTTCCCATCATGCTTTCCCTACTCCTTTACTAGCTTCTCCTAGAGTATCTTCATAAAAAAATTTCCACAAAAATTTCCATAAAAATTGCACAGGAATAGTCACCTCAAGATATTCTTCTGGGAAGCTGGATCCAAAAAAATCTATAAAATCCCAAAGTCTAGAAACCCCTAGTTTAGATCTTAAGAATGTTACTCCCATGTCTCCAGTTGCCAACAGCTTATTCTCTGCATTCTTGGACTTTTCTCACTTCTTCAAACACCATGATCTTAGCTCATGATCTCACGTTCAAATGTGCTGTTGTCTCTCCTCCTTTCCTATCCACACTGGAGCCTCACTCAACCCTCAGGTCCCAGGTAAGTCACTTCCCCAGGGAAGCCTTCTCTGAGCCCACAGATTAGGTTCTCCCCTCTGCCAATACATGTTCCTCATGGTCCTCTTCTAGGCTGGCCTGTAAGCTCAAAAAAGAGCCATCTCTGTCTGACTCTCTACTTGGTTCCTAGCAGTGAACTGGCAGAGAGGGTGTTCAATAAATGTTTCTGATTGTATAAAAAATTCACCCAAATGTTAACAGTTACTGAATCTGGGCAGAAGAATTACAGATTTTTTTCATATATATTTTCCTTTTTTTTTGGTATTTTCTAGATTATTTTTAAACAATGAAACATCTATTGATTTCATAATCAGTAAAATTTAAAAAGGCTTTTTCTTATATCTTAATAATATATTGGTCACCTTTTTTTCTCTTAAAATGTAATGGTATTTTCAGTAGACTAAAGCTGAAAATCAGTAAAGAAAATTAGAGATACAGGTATAAATAAAGTTTTAACTTTAATCACAACCATATACCAGTAACTCTCAGTAACCCAAGAGCATGATTTGTACTTAAAATTAGTTATGCAGCTGTTAAGTTTTAGACTGGAGAAAACACATTACATGTTCCATTGATCTCCTCCCTAAATCTTTTCAGATTTTTGGAAAAAAGTAGGTAACTTTGTAAGAAGAATGTCAGAGTCCTAATAAAACAATTCTCATATAAGAAAAGATCCTGCCATGCACAGTGGCTCCCATCTGTAATTCCAGCACTTTGGGAGGCCGAGGCAGGCGGATCACCTGAGGTCAAGAGTTCGAGACCAGCCTGCCCAACCTGGTGAAACCCCATCTCTATTAAAAATACAAAAATTAGCCAGGCATGGTGGCACGCACCTGTAATCCCAGCCGCTCAGGTGGCTGAGGCAGGAGAATCTCATTAACCCGAGAGGCAGAGGTTGCAGTGAGCCAAGATCGTGCCACTACACTCCAGCCTGGGCGACAGAGTGAGACCCTGTCTCAAAACAAAACAAAAGATCCTACTCCATTTTTTCCTCTTAGGGAGAAAACAAAAATCTGATTTTAATTAAGGTATGCTGGCTTTCTGAGTTTAAAAAACGACTAATAACATTATTTGCAATGAATTATTAGGTAGTTCTGGAAAAAAAAGTAAAGATTATACCAGCAATCTCCAAGTTGAGCTGTACTCTGTATGTTTTCTGGCAGGCCCTGGAAGTATTCCCTTAGAGATGAGGGGACAGAGATATCAGAGGAGCTGCATGTTACGGAGGTAGCAGCTGACCTCTGCCCGCCTCCTCCTGCACTGGCAGCTGGCCATCCCTACAGTTGAACAGGTGCCCTGATCTGCTCTCAGGCTAGAATGAGAGCGGGAATTTTTATTTATTTTGTTCACTGCTCGCTGACACATCTCTAATACCTAGAACAACACCTAGCACATTAGGTAGGCACTAAAATATTTAATGAACGAGTGATTTAATAAAGTGATATGAAGTCCTAGAAACTGCTAAGATCCATGAGTAATAGAAAAAATGAGCAAATAATATGATCAGATAGTTAAAGGAAAAAGAAATATAAATGGCTTTTAAACATATGAAAAGATTTCAACCTCAGAGATAATAAAAGAATTTTAACAGTTAACATGAGATAACATTTTTCACCTATTAAATTGCAAAAATATTGAAATTTATAAACATACTCTGTAGGCGAGGCTTTGGCAAAACACCCATGTACATGCCCTGCTAGTGGGAATATAAATAGTACAGACTCTTTGGAGAGAAATTTGGCATTACATATGAAAATTACAACTGTTAAAAATTAAAATTAAATGTAACTAAGAATAAATTGTTAAAATGCAAAAAAAAAATGTTAAACATTACAAAATTATCAAATTATCCTTGGTTGAGTAGCCTTCTTCTAGGAAATTTATCCCACAGATATACTTGCACACATGCAAAGTGACTTATGATAAGGTCATTCCCTGCATTAATGTTTATAAGAGCAAAAGACTAGAAACAACTAAGTGCCCATCAATGGGGGACTAGTTAATAAGTTGGGGTTCATACACACTATGCATTACTTGCAAATGCAGGAAAGAATGAGGAAGCTCTCTTTGTACTTACAAGAAAAGATCCAACATATACTACTGTGTGAAACAAGGTACAGAACAGTGTGATAAATATGCTTACTTTTGTGTATAAAAATATAAAATTATATTTGTATTTGCTTGTGTCTGCACAAAGAAATTCTGGAAAGATACAAAATGAGCTGATAAAAGTGGTTTCTTCGAGGGAGGAATGGGTCCTAGGCACATGGAGAACAGGGTACATGTGAGACTGCATTATATTAATATTTTGTAAAATTAGGAGGTTGAATGACAAAAACGACAGCCAAGGAGCTGTTATGCAAAACAGGCTTGTAGGGAGAATGCATGAATTACTTAAAGCAACATTGATTTTTAAATGAATATGGGTGTTGCAAAAACATTCAACTAACGTTAAACCAAATCCCCTAAGGACCTCCTCTGAAGTGTCACTCACAGGCCTATTGTGAGTTGTTGAAAAGATTTAAAAGTAGTAACATGATGCCTGTTTGAAAATATTTTCAAAGTCATATTTCGTACTAACGTCCCAGAATGGCCCATGTCCCTATGAGTTCAAATTGTGCTTTTTGGTTTTGGTAAATTTTATGAGATACAAATATCATAAGCCATGAATATTACAGTATGAGGTATTACAGGTATAAAGCCTGAATTAAATCTTTATATGAGTGATCTCTCTTCCCCATCAGAAAACTAAGGAAAATTTTCAAAATCAAATTCAATTAAGTTACTTAAAAGAATGCTTGCAATAAAAAAGATCTCCAATATTAACAACCAAAACCTTTCTACCATATAACTTAGGTCATTAAAAAATTAGTCTTACCTTACTTCAGCTGGTGGATTTGGGGAATAAGGATTTGCAGAACAAGCGAGAATTCTAATGACTGCTCCGGGATGATAGGTTTCTAGAACATGTACAGCTGTAGGATACACCTGTTGTTCAAAAGTAAGTTCCACATAGTCCTGGCTCTGAAAATTAGGTGGCGTCCTCTTGAATGGCAAGGAAGCACTAGGACACTGATCCCACCATGTCCCATAAGTTCGAAACACAGCTGTCTGAGTAAAGTCACCAGAACTTGGGAATACATTTGGTACACCAGCCAAATTCCACATAGTATAGGACATACTATTCTCACTTCCATAATGGGAACTGAAATCCACTACTTCTTTGGCATACTGGACTACCTCTGCATTGAGAGGGGAAGTCTGGCTGTTTGATTCTATAGCTCTATGGGTGTTCATCATTTCTCCTCTTGTAGCTGTCCTGGCTCGGCGCCGAAGGCATATATAATAAAACATGGTCAGAACTGTTAACATGGGAAAGACCGGTGACATCTAGATGTGAATTATGAAGCTTCAAAAGGTCAGGTGTCCTCAGTAAGATGCATGAACTCTTTGAAGGATGTTCTAAAAAAATGAATGGCTTGGTGAAGTAAAATAATTTAAATAAGCAGAAAAATGCATGGATAAGGTAATGAACAGGCTCTACCCTCAATGTAATTTCTCAGAATGAAACTAAAAAAACAAGTTTTAAAATACAAATGTGAAGTCTGGTATAAATAAATTTTCTAATGTATTTTTAAGAAACCTAAATATTGTTATGCATACAATATGGGAAGCAAAACTATATTATAAGGCAATTGGAAGATATACAATCCAAAAAGCCGTATTTTATACAAAATTATAACCATCACTCAAGAAATACTAAGTCTTTGAATCTGAAAATTAAAATTATTTAAATTATATGGTGAACCACTAAAATACTGCTGTAAATTCAAAATAATCTTAGACATTGCTGTAATTTTACATGTTAACAAAAATTCCCTACTGTTAATTATTACTCTCTTTCAAACATACAGAATTCAGATTTCACATTATGGGAATATAGTTCTTTGGTGCTGACAGTTAATCCAGATGAACTACATTAACTGCCTTACACATCACAGATCACAGATCAGTGTTTAATTTATAACTCCTAGCATTATTTGTTAGGGCAGTCCATGGCTGGCTGGCATCTGGTTTGTTGCCAGCTACTCTTAGAAATCACTCACCCCAGATAGAATGGTCACAGGATACACATGGGAAATGCAAAAGTTGGCATTCATCCAGGTACCCTGAACTTTGCATGCTGACTTCAGGTACAAATGCTGACATGTGACATTCTTTTACCTGTAAGAAAAGAGTTTTGGAAAATATTTTTATGTCCAAGTCACAAAGTCAAAATATCCAAAATTATAAATAGCCACTTATTCAACCCTTCAAATCAAACAGGCCACATTTTTCTATTTTGTACACAATTTTAAATAATGTATTTTTTAAATGTTATGATAGAATATAATAAAGATTTAATAATGAACGCTATCTATAAAGAGGTTGCAAACTCACAGCTTTTGTTTCAAACTATGTTTGTATACATATTTCACTGAGGCCAAACAGTGTTTTTTAAAAATTTGATCTAGTTTGTAACCTTTAACAATCAACAAGATCCCAAGAGGCATGAGCTCTCTCAGTGGCCACTCTCGTTCCCAGCCAGCTCCACTCATTTACAACATAGGCTGGGGCCCATCCTCATTGAGTAGGTAAACTTTTGTTGACAACAAGGAACTATAAAACAAACTTATTTTTGTACCTGTAAAGTCTTGAGTTTAACTTCTAAGAAGGGAGATGTACCAACTTTTCTTTTTTTTTTTTCGAGACAGGGTGTCTCTCTTGCCGCCCAGGCTGGAGTGCCCTGGCGCAATCTCGGCTCACTGTAACCTCTGCCTCCTGGTTTCAAGCGATTCTCATGCCTCATCCTCCTGAGTAGCTGGGACTACAGGCATACACCATCATGCCCAGCTAATTTTTTGTAGTTTTAGTAGAAACAGGGTTTCACCATGTTAGCAAGGCTGATCTCGAACTCCTGACCTCAGGTGATCTGCCTGCCTCGGCCTCCCAAAGTGCTGGGATTACAGGTGTAAGCCACCACGCCCTGCCCCAACTTTTCTTTAATAGAGCAATGCACTAGTCTTCCAAAACTTCAGCACTAAGATTATAAAACATTATTTGCACTAAATGTCCCTTCCACTGAAAAACCTCCAATGCCTTTTTCTTATCTGCAAGATATAATCTAAATTATTTGGTTTGGTATTTTAAGGCTCTCTTCAAGCTGGACCAATCTCTTCTTGTCTAACCCAGCAAACCCAATCAAGTTCTAACCACTCTTCGTATTTTACGTTAAGTCTCGCTTCCTCTATCATTTCTTTTCCAACCACTTTTTTCCACATCAGTAGCCTTACTTTCTGATACCTACTGGCACTGCATTTTTATGAGATATATACCTTAGTTCCACTAGGGTTTATATTAGGAATAAGTCTCTTGAAGGAGGGAATCTAGCCAAAGATCTTTATTTCTCAAAGTACACAGTACATAATAGGCACAAAATATTTGACATGTTGATAGGTGATGAGCAAATTAAAAATTATAAAAATCTAAAATAATTTTAAATTGTATAACAGCATCCTTTTGCCTCTCAAACCCAAACAGATCCAAACACAATGAAATATTTAAAAATATAAGCACTGAAACACTACTTAAATAACTGAACTTGAAAGAAGTGCAGAGAATCCACAGTAGTAAGAAACTAAGAAGAAAGTTAGCTGGGCATGGTGGCTCACGCCTGTAATCCCAGCACTTTGGGAGGCTGAGGCAGGTGGATCACCTGAGGTCAGGAGTTTGAAACCAGCTTGACCAACACAGAGAAACCCCGTCTCTACTAAAAATATAAAATTAGCCAGGCATGGTGGCACATGACTGTAATCCCAGCTACTCGGGAGAGTGAGGCAGGAGAATCGCTTGAATCCAAGAGGTGGAGATTGCAGTGAGCCAAGATCATGCCATTGCACTCCAGCCTGGGCAACAAGAGAAAAACTCCGTCTCAAAAAAAAAAAAAAAAGAAAGAAAGAAAGTCAATGAGCAGAAAAAAGAAAGTCAATGAACAGAGGTCAGGGGCTGAAGCTAACATGACTCATGGAACCAGTTACAGGCCATAATGGTTACAAGGGGACTCCCTAACACCCATTCAGAGACGTTATTTAAAGACACAGGTCACAGTTGGAAGGACCTTCATAAAGTCAAAACTCTGAAAGGATCACCCTATCCATGAAACCAGGACTATAAAAACTTAGCTTACTGGCCAGGAAACCCAAGTAGGCATGACATCAACTAAGGCAATGGGGGGAAAGTCACCAGAGGAAATCAGAACCATATGAGGCATGAACCATGCATAGAGTGTGGGCCTAAATTCACACAACCTTCATGGTTTAGAATCCCACCCTATCCTCATGCCAAAAACTGAAAAAAGAAAAGTAGTCCTGAACTGGTAAAACTTTAGGACCTGGTAAGAGCAAATGTGAAAACTCTTTGCAGGAATGCTTCCAAAACATACAACAGACTAAACCTTTACTAATGATGCATCACAGTAAAAAGTTACAGACCAGAATAGAAAATGAACCATGATGAGAGATAGTCAGTGGACTCACCAAATGGAGGGATTTGCAGCACAAGAACAAGAAATAACAGAATAACCAGAATAAGACTTTTTCCAAAGAAGGGCAACAAAGCATATATTAAAATAAATAGGCTGGGCATGATGGCTCACACCTGTAATCCCAGCACTTTGGGAGGCCCAGGTGGGAGAATCACTTGAGCCCGCCGGGGCGGAAGTTGCAGTGAGCCGAGATTGCACCACTGCACTCCAGCCTGGGTGACAGAGCCAGACCCTGTCTCAAACAAACAAATAAATAAATAAGGTGTTTCTGTAACACACACTTAATGGATGTGCTCATGAGTCAATGAACCAGATTCACCTCAGGACATATAATAGCAAGTACTGAAGTATGTCATGTTATAATTGGGGGAAAAATAACTACCTGTTATATTACTTCTTTATTCAAACATTTCACCTACCACAAGTATAAATTTGTCAAATTAAAAAATATATATATTTAAGGCTGAGGCTGGAGGATAACTTGAGCTCAGAAGTTCAAGGCTGAAGTGAGTCATGATCGTGTCACTGTACTCCAGCCTGGACCACAGAGCAAGACCCCGTCTCAAAAACAGACAGACAACTTTTTGCCATTCAAGTCTCAATCCTTAACAAAAAAAATTGAAATGGTACAAATCTTTCTTTTACCATATACACTTTATTTCAAAATAGGGCTGCAGATAAATTAAGAACCATTTTCCAAAGAAGTTGACTATTCTCTTTTCAAAAAGAAAAAGAATTAACAAGTTAAACTGCAAAAATAAAATTTAGGAAATAAAGAACAACCTATAACATGTATTCAAATCAATTGACAAATCAGCTAATTTAGAAGACTATGGATGTGTTATTCCTGGAAACCATCAAGGGAAGGACAGAAAACCATCTGCCACAGTGGATGAATAAGTTGACTGCTTAATCTCTGGACATCACTTCTCACTCCACGGTCTATAAATTGCTTCAACTAAGCTCCTCCCCCTTTCTTTATAAAACTGTGTTGTGCATTTTTGGCAAAAAGATTTTAGACAAATTGTGAAAGTCAAATTCTGTTTGACATACCAAGCTACAAACTTTGAAACTGTTTCCCAGCTTTTACCATTGTAGATTATAAGATAATATCAAAAGCAAGACTGTCATATGGGCAATATTATGTTTAAGCTGTGTTAAAGTTAAGCAAAATTTTGCATTGAGGCAACATATGTAAAAGTGAGTTATAAACTGTAAATATATGTGTTATATGTTCAAACTTCTTCAATATAGAAATGTAAAATGGATGCTTTAGTTTTTTTCAACTATGGATAAAAATAATATTTAATGCTAATTTTTTCAGGAAATAAAGTTAAAAATGGCAAAAGAAATTTTTAAAGGAAGGAAATGCAGAGTCTGATATACCAAAAAAGCAAATATATTTATTCTTTTTCCAGCAGTGCTATTTGGAAAATGTTATAGAAGTTAAAACCTGTTTTTGAAAATAAGCAAGGCATAGAAATAAAAAAGAGAAATGTACAAACCCATTGCTAACGTCCTTCATTGATTCTAAACTCCTTTCCAATCTGCTAAGATGACACATAAAAGTGTTTTAGGGGTGGGGAAGAACATATGGAGAAGAAAGGATAGCTCTCTCTACTTTTCCCTGGGAAATGAAGCTGAAAAAGGGAATGGAGCCATTGTCTCAGGACTCATGTGGAGAGCTACGACCAATGCAGAAGTCCAAATTGTCCAGGCGCTGTCTGGACTTTTGCCAAGGCATGGAGGCAATTTGTGGTAACCAATGAATATCCCTATGGGCAATGAACCAAGTGTAAAAGATACAATAACTCTATTTTATAAGGAGAATGGGATTCAAAGATAAAATTATTTTTCCCACCTGGTGCAAATAAATAAATATTAGTCAGGAACACTTAATTTGTCCAAAAGAGTGATTATAAAATGGATCTTCTGGGAGACATTTTCTTTTTTTGTTCATTCAAAAAGCTACTTTAAGGACTCACAACATATAAAAATATTATTTTCCATTTAGAATAAGTCAGAATTAGGGGGATCTTCATTTCATTTGTTGCTTAATCCAATCACTGATAAGCAATGACTATGAAGTGAGAAATTCTCTACACTGAACATTTATACTAGCACAATCAAGGAATACCAAAACAACAGCCATTTTAACTTGTATCATGAGACTTTCATACTCCTTAGGAAACAACTTGCTTTTATACAACATGATTTTATTATAATACAACTTAGGTTTAAACCACATCTTCCATATTATAAAATGCTTAACGAAGTTAAATAATACAATTACAGAGAAAGCAGTAATAGTGGAAAAGAGAAATTAAGAGGTATAGACAAGGGAGAACATATGTTTCCTACTGAGATTTGAAGTGAGATGGGGAATCGATGAGGCGGAGAGAAGCAGGATGGCAGGAGCTGCCGAGAAGTCGGCTTGTACTTCGAAGGGAAAAAGAGGAAGGAAAAGGACTGTTAATAAAATAACAAAGGCAGCAATCAGAATGAACCAGAGCCAGGACAGCGTAAAGGCTAGGTTCACAGTGAGATGAAAGAACCTGAAAACAAGTTTAAAACTCAAAAGAGGATTATTCTCAAGTTATACTACAGTGAAAAAACATGGAAAAACACAAAAAGGACAGGCAATAAGGCACAGGCATACATACAAGGCAAATTGTAACACAATATTTACTTGCAAAAGAGCCCACAGAGACATGTCAATGAAGTCATAGAAAAAAAAAAAAAAAGCAAGTTTAGACAGCTTTGCTACATAGTACCAAAATGTAATTAGAATGCTCAATGTGGTAATGAATCAAGAAAAAAGGCCAACCCTTAAATGCTCATTATTTCTGAATCCTGCTGAAACTGATCAAGACATACTATTCTGAGGAAGGACTTTTCTGGTTGAATCTAGAAATCAAAACAGGGGAATGAAAGAAAGCATCAATGGAGAAAAGAGGGGAATGATAATGTGAATTTGATGTAGCATCTGAAATTCCTATCAGCTCTCTTTCCTGGCTGGCCCCCTCTAGCTTTTACACCAACTTGTGCTCTTATGCCCCCTCTTGCCTCTGGTAACTTCTCAGTCTCCTCCCAGGTTTTCTTCTTCCTAATTCTTCTCATATACACAGAGGTACCATTAAAGGAAGGCTGTCTTTTTGATAACATGATATACAAGAACATTCTATCTAACTTTGAGCCCGCCTTCCCCTTCCCTTTCATGTCCACACCCACTACCCTTGCTGTAGACCCACCAGAACCTCCACCATGCCCTCAGCAGCACTCCTGCTTTCATGCCTCAGCATCCTGAAATCTTCAACTGAGGCTGGATGGCTCTGGAATGCCCCCTCTCTTCCAATGCTTGGCACTCTCTTACTCATCCTTCAAGGTCAGGTTCATACTTTATCTACCATGCACCTTTCCTCTGCTCTTATATGTTCGTATTATTTGCTATTTCTTACATGCTGAAATATTTCTCTACCTGAATAGACTATGAACTCCCCAAGTTCGGAGAACATGCCTTAATTATAACCATACCCTTAGAGTCTAGCACATGCCAATATATGCTCAATAAACATCTGTTGTTTTACGGAGACTGGAAGAGTAGATGGCATAAGAGAATTAAAATGAATAAGTTTAAAATAAACACAGAGATGAAACCAGCAACTCTTCCTAAGGCACATGTAAACCAAAAAATGACACAAGAAATGTTCCATATCTTGATACAGAGATAAAGAGAGGAAACGGGTAATAAAAATTGAAGCGCAATAGGTAAGAATCAAATGTATGAACTTCTTTGAAGCCATCCAAGAAGGAATAGTACATATATTGAAATTTTACTGTTCAAAGAGAATGAAAAAAGTAGTAACTTCTGTTAGTACAAAAGCAGCTTCTGAATACATAAAAGAGTCTTGACTCTGGTCACAAAGAAACTCTGATTGAAATTAAAGAAAGATTCATGAAAGAGATGATTAGAGAGGTAAAAGAAAGCCATTTCCTCAAATACAATGATGTTTTTGCACTCCAAATCTGTGTTAAAACAGTACGTTGATTATGGAGAACTGGAAAAACTATGGCTGAAAAAGAATTTCTTAAAGAGATAACCTACAAGTTAAGAGAGAAGAGGCGGAGAATGGCTTGAACCCGGGAGGCGGAGGTTGCAGTGAGCCAAGATCGCACCACTGCACTCCAACCTGAGCAACAGAGTGAGACTCCGTCTCAAAAAAAAAAAAGAGAGAGAGAGACAGAAGAGACAGGCCGTAATATAACAGCAAAGGTAATAAGACAGCTTAATATTGTTCTCGTATTAGATGTGATATAAAGGAGCAAAGGCCAAGCATTAGAAAAAGCTCTGCTTTTTCTTCATCATAATTATTGATATTCTAATTGTACTAGATCTTAAAAAACTAACATTGAAAAAATCTAACAGTGTCAGCATGGAAACTACTCAGGATGGTATCTTAAGGCTTTATATGCCTCTCTCTTACTCTAAGTAAATTCTTCCCCAGTTAAAACATTTTTATTATGACTGTATTTTTTAATCAGTAAGGCCCCAAAGTAGAAAAAATAGGTGGCGTTCTTACCTGAAACATATGGATCAAGAGGAAGACTGGAGACTCCTATCCAGCTTCAAAGCTTCTTGAAAATCCAAGCGAATGAAGCAAATGGAGAAGGCAAGGGAACCAGGCCAGGAAGAAAAATCTAAAAGCAGAGCAAAAATCTCAAAAACCAGAGGTAAACAGTACCACTCTCTTCGAGGAATCAAGGTAGATCTCAAAAATGCAAGGAAATAATCCAAAAAGTCTGGAATACATTAGACTGTGCAAAAACCTCTGGTGAGTTAATGAATAAAGGGCAGGAACTAAGCAAGAGGTACCCAAGAAGTCAAGTAGGAATGAATTTATCAGAAAACAAGAGATAAGATTTAGAACCAATTTAAACTAGGAATTGAGAAAGGTTACTTCTGCAGAATATGTTCTTTCTTTCCTAGACTTTCTTTAACAAGCATATCTAAACTTCTGAAATATTTCATAATCAATCTTTAGTAGCAAGAAAAGCAGAAAAAGGAACTGAAGGAATCTTTTTTTTTTTTTTAAGTAGAGCTATAGGATGAGTGGAATGGTTTTTTGTTTTTTTTTTTTCTGATATAATGGATCTGGAAACCCTCTTCCTGCCCAACATGCTATCTCACAAAGTGAAAAGAAAGGATATGTTTCTAATTACACAGGTACGATGATACAACATAACTTAGAAATAGATTCCACTGTTATATTACCTATATATTACCTTTTTCTTCAGTGTTTAACGATGGGTAAGAATAAGCCATCTGGGCCGGGCGCGGTGGCTCACGCCTGTAATCCCAGCACTTTGGGAGGCCGAGGCGGGTGGATCATGAGGTCAGGAGATCGAGACCATCCTGGCTAACAAGGTGAAACCCCGTCTCTACTAAAAATACAAAAAATTAGCCGGGCGCGGTGGCGGGCGCCTGTAGTCCCAGCTACTCGGGAGGCTGAGGCAGGAGAATGGCGTGAACCCGGGAAGCGGAGCTTGCAGTGAGCCGAGATTGCGCCACTGCAGTCCGCAGTCTGGCCTGGGCGACAGAGCGAGACTCCGTCTCAAAAAAAAAAAAAGAATAAGGCATCTGAATGAGAAGAACTGTGACTCTGGAATAACCCTAAATCTTTAGCAGATATGCAATGATATTTAACTAAAATATTAAAAATTGGAGATATCTGGCTGAGGATAAATTTAAGGAACTTACTGAAGAAAGAAAAAATGATATTTTGTTTGTTAAAGTCATACTAATTATGTGAATTTACTTTAGCCAAATACTAGCCATATATTTTTGTACATTAACATAGAGAACATTTTACCTAGAAAAAAATATAGTGGATTTACACCCTGCCAAACAAAAATCCAAGGACAATACACCTGTCATAGCTTGCCATTATAGCTAAAATAGCAACTAATTAAAATGGTGTAATACTGTTAAATTAACTTTAGTATAAAATGTACCCCACTTTAAGCATATAATTTGATGAGTTTTGACAATGACAGAAACCAACATAACCACCACCAAAATCAAGATACAGAATATTACCACTAGCCTAAAAGGATCCCTGGTCAATCACCCATCCACAACCTATGCCAAGCAAAAACTGATCTGCTTTCTGTCACTACAAACCAGATTGTCCTTTATTCCAGAATTATATGAAAGTGAAATAATATGGTATGTATGGCTAACCCTTAACACAGGTTTGAACTGTGTGGGTCCACTTATATGTGCCTTTTCTTCTGTCTCTGCGATCTCTGAAACAGCAAGACTGACCCATCCTCTTCCTCCCTCTTAGTCTATTTAACATGACGACAATGAGGATGAATACCTTTATGATGACCTATTTCCACTTAATGAGGAGTAAATATATTTTCTTTTCCTCATGATTTTCTTAATATTTTCTTTCTCTAGCCTATTTCATTGTAAGAATACAGTATACAATACATATAACATATAAAACATATATTAACCAACTGTATATGTTATCAGTAAGGCTTCCAGTCAACCATAGGCTATTCAGTGGTAGTTAAGCTTATGGGGAGTAAAAAATTATAGCTGGATCAACTGCATGGGGGATTGGCACCCCTAACCTTCATGTTGTTTGAGGATCAACTGTATTATTTTGTGTCTAGCTTATTTTGTTCAGTCTATCTTCCAGATTTACCCATGATGCTATGTGTTAAGAGTAGTTCAGTTCCTTTTTATTCTGAATCAAATCCCATTATACAGTTGACCCTTGAACAATGTATGGGATTGGGGCACTGACCCCCTATGCAGTAAAAAAATCTGAATATAGGCTGGAATAGTGGCTCATGCCTGTAATCCCAGCATTTTGGGAAACTGAGGCAGGTGGATCACCAGAGGTCAGGAGTTTGAGACCAGCCTGGCCAATAGGGAAAAACCCTGTCTCTACTAAAAATACAAAAATTAAACAGTTGTGGTGGCACACACCTATAATCCCAACTACTCAGGAGGCTGAGGCAGGAGAATCACTTGAACCTGGGAGGCAGAGGTTGCAGTGAGCCGAGATTGTGCCACTGCACTCCAGCCTGGGTGACTTCGTCTCAAAAAAAAAAAAAAATCTGAATATAACTTTTGACTCACCCAAAACTTTACTAATAGGCTACTGTCGACCAGAAGGCTTACCAATAACATAAACAGTTGATTAACATATTTTGTAAGTTATATAATTTATGCTTATAATAAAGTAAGCTAGAGAAAAGTACTGTTAACAAAATCATAAGGAAGAGAAAATATATTGACTACTCATTAAGTGAAAGTGAATCACCACAAAGGTCTTCGATCTGATCTTCATGTTGAGTAGGCTGAGAAGGGAGGAGGAAGAGGAGGGGTGGTCCTTGCCATTTCAGGATACAGGGTGAAAGTGATGGAGGAGGTGTAAAAAGAGGCAGGAGAGGCAGGCACACTCGGTGCAATTTTGTGGAAATATACTATAAATTCTGCCTGACTTTTTGCTATTTCATTTCTCCAAAAATATCTCTATACAGTACCAATCCTTCTTCCACCATTTGCTTTAGTTTCAGTGTCCATGTCATAGAAGGGTCCATGTTGTAAAAGAAGTCAAAACTGTCCAGAATAATTGGAACTTTCTGCCAAATTGTCTAATGTCAATTTGTTTTCTGGCACTGCCTCTTTTATGTCTTCTTCCTCGTCATCTGGCACTAATTCAGAAACACTCGTCTCCACCAAGTTGTTTTCTGTTAACTCCTTTGGTGTGGAGTCTATTAGCTCTTGAATTTCTCTAAGATCCATATCTTGAAACCCTTCATCCTCCTCCCCCTGCACCCTTTTTTTTTTTTTTTTTTGCCCTATCTACAATCTCTTTCATGATTTCCTTGATTGGTTCTGTCATATATCCTGTGAAGTCATGTACACTATTGGTAGAGTTTTCTTTAGTTTTCTTATTGTTTGAGTCTTGATGGCCTTCACAGTTTTTTCTGTAACAATGGCATATTCAATGGTGTAATCCTTCCAAACTTACAGGTTCTCTCTGTTGAGGTTCTCATCCATAGAGTTCACAGTTCTTTCCATAGAGTACCATGTATAGTAAGCCTTAAAGTTCCTTACAACCCCCTGATCTGGAGGCTGAATTAGGGACATTGCATTTGGGGACATGTGGAATATACTTCGACACCTTCAGTGTTAAACTCGTGGAGTTCTGGGTGGCCAGGGACATTGTCTGATACCAAAAGAACTTTAAAAGGCAGTCCCTTATAGCAAGGTATTAATACTTCCTGACTTCAGGGACAAAGCATTGATGAAATCAATCAAGAAAAAGAACTCTGATTGTCCAGGCCTTCCTGTTACATAACGAAAAGACTGATAACTGGCATTTACCTTTTCCCTTTAAGGCTGGGGGTTAGTAGCTTTATAAATAAGCAGTCTTGATCATAAACCCAGATACATTTGCACAAAACACCAGAGTTAGTCTATCCCTTCCTGCCTTAAATCCTGGTGCTTGCTTTACTTCTTTAATAATAAATGTCTTTTGTGGCATTTTTTTTTTCCAGAATAGGGCACTTTGTCTGCATTCAAAACCTGACTGAGGCTGGGCACAGCGGCTCATGCCTGTAATCCCAGTACTTTGGGAGGCCAAGGCAGAAGGATCACTGGAGACCAGGAGTTTAAGACCAGCCTAAGAAACATAGGGAGACCCTGCCTCTACAAAAATAAAAAATAAAAAATTAGCTAAGTGTGGTGGTGTGCACCTGTAATCCTAGCTATTTGGGAGGACTGTTTCCACCTCAGGAGGCTGGGGCTACAGTAAGCTGTGATCATGCCATTGCACTTCAGCCTGGGTGACAGAGCAAGACCTTGTCTCAAAAAAAAAAAAAAAAAAAAAAAAAAAGAGAAGAGAAAGGAAAAGACAAGACAGGAGGGAGGGAGGAAGGGAGATGAAATGAAACGAAACGAAATGAAATGAGAGAGAGAAAGAATCCCATTTAAGCAGATATCCTTTCTCCTCAATTATTTTAATGGTATCTGGGAAATCATCTGCTGCCTCTTGAACAGTAGCAGCTGCTTTCCTGTTATCTTAACATACATAAAGCCAAACTTCTTTCTACAATTATCAAACCATCCTTTGCTGGCATTAAATTCTCTAGCTTTCTATCCTTCACCTTCTTTTTGCTTTAAGCTGTCATACATTAACTTCACTTTCTCTCAAATCATATTAGAGTCTACAAGCATGTCTTTCTTATAGCAATCCTGCACCCACATAAGAACTGCATTTTCAATATGAGATAAAGTGGTATTTCACAAAAAGTGCAAGGTTTTGCACCTGCTGGTATAGTTGTAGCAACAGCTACATAAATTCTCTTTTCTTTTTTCACAGTGGTCCTTTTGCTGGATTCGTTTATCTTGAAATGACAGGTAACCATAGCTGCAGACTGTAATCTATGGTACATAACAAGCAATTCCATTTTTGCTTGTAATGTCATGACTTCTCGCTGCTACTTGGAATCACTTCCGACATTACCAGTGGCACTTTCTAAGGGTCCCATGGTGTTATTCAAAGTTTATGGTATTACACTAAGCATGATGAAAAATACGTGAGAATCACAAGAAATCACTTCTTACTGTAATACACAATTTACTAGAGACAAACTGCTCATGTGTCGATGATTAGCTTCACACAGCATTGGAAGCTGATACCTGCAATATTTAAGCTCACTGCAATAGTAACTG
Source organism: Homo sapiens (assembly GCF_000001405.40). Lineage (NCBI taxonomy): Eukaryota > Metazoa > Chordata > Mammalia > Primates > Hominidae > Homo > Homo sapiens. The sequence goes on from NC_000006.12 coordinate 98,939,942, forward strand.
GAGGTGATCATCAAATTATTACAGTAGTACAGTATGTACCACAGCTAATTTTATGCAGTTATGATTTAATACTGAATTTACATTTGTTTACATTTCTCTGAACTGCAAATGGAAGCATGTACATTCTGTAAGTGTGTGACTACCTTTTGAAAAAGTTTAATTTTTTATAATATATATGTGTGCTATTCATGGCAGTAAATTATAAAATAGACTAGTATCTACATATATTTTATTTATTTGTGAAATACCTTTTTTTGATATTTCTAGGCTACACAATTTGCAAGTTTTTCAAATTGTTGCAAATCTCCAAAATTTTTCTATATTTATTGAAAAAAACTGCATATAAGCATATCTTCACAGTCCAAACCCATGTTGTTCAAGGGTCAGCTACATTGGTATATCAATTCAGTTGTTGCTAAACATTTGGCTTGTTTCTAGTATCAAGCCATTTCCAAAGTGGCTGTAGCATTTTACATTCTGACATCAACATATGAGAGTTCCAGTTGCTCCACATCCTCATCAATAGTTAATATTGTCAATCTTCATCCATTCTAGTGGGTGGGTGGTGATACCCTGTGGTTTTAATTTGAATTTCTTAATTGATTAATGACATGGAACATCTTTTCACGTGCTTATTTGCCATTTATATCTTCTTTAGTGCAGTGTCTATTTTCTAATCTTTTTTTTGTTGTTGTTTCCTTACTATGGAGTTGTAAGAGTTCTTTACACACACTAGATACAATTTCTTTGTTAGACAGATGTTTTTGCAAATGTTTTCTCCCAGTCTGTGCTTGCCTTTTCATCTACTTGAAAATATCTTTTTTTCTCTTATGGGATACTTGTACATGTCCTAGCAAACATATTACCGAAGAGCAAGATCAAGTACAGTTTCAAAAGAGTAAACCCTGAGAAAGTATTTCATCTTAGACCTGGGAAGTATTTGCTCTTAAGGGAAGACCTGGGAAGAGTTAACTACAAATTAATCAAATTTTAAGATACCAAATTAGATTCTGCAAACATTTCTAGTGGGAATGCAAAATCATATAGCCACTTTGAAAAACAGTTTCACGGTTTATTATAAAGGTCCATCCGCCCTTACCAAACCATCCAGCAATCCCATTCCGAGGTATTTACTCAAGTGTACTGAAAACCTACATCCAACCAAAAACCTGTATACAAATGTTTATAGCAGATTTATTCATAATTGTTGCAACTTGGAAACATCTAAGATGTCCTTGACAGATGCATGTACAGTGTTACATCCATACAATGAGTTACTACTCAGGAAAAAAAAAAAGAAAGAACCACCAATCCAGGCAATAATATAGATGAATCTTAAAATGCATTTTGTTAAGTGACAGAGGTCTGATGCAAAAACTACATATTGTATGATTTCATTTATGTGATACTTTGGAAAAGGCAAATAGGAAAGGCAGATAAATCAGTGATTGCCCAGGGTTAAGGGAAGAAAGAGAAATTGACTAAAGTAACCACAAAGGGGCCACACAAGGAATTTTTAGGATGATGTAACTGTTCTGTGTGCTTTTGTTTTCAGTCAAAACAAGTCAAGCTGTAAATCCGATACTCTAGTATTGATTTGGTTATGCACACGCTAGCTTACTTGTCTGTTCTCTTTAAAGATATCTACTAGTTGGCATGTTCTGCCCACTTGTTCTGCCCAGGGCAAAGCCTGCTCACACAGCCCCAACCACTCATCTTGCCTTAGGAAACTACCTGTCTGGAAAACAGAATAGTGACCTTCATGACATGAAATACTTCAGACCAGGACCAAGATGGTCAACATAGATCTGCATTTATATGTCTGAATAGAATTAACCATTTTAAAGACAGGGAAACAAGTTAAGCAATTACAGCAAATGGCATTCAGGAAAAGTTAAAGCCAAAATTAGGACAATAGTTTTTTTTAAAAATCATTGTTTAGTGTTAATTAATAGGTTATAGGATCCATGAAATAAGCACAAACTAACTTAAAAAAATTCTTAGAAGAGGTGGTGACTGAAATAAATTGAAAATTAAGAGACAAATAAATGACCTAGAGCACATATACAAGAAACCTAACATCTATATAAGATAAAGACTGAAGCTAATTTAAGTTCAAGGAAATTCTAAAGGAAAAAAAAAATGGCTCAAACTCTTATTCACATAGAAAAAACAAAATTAAATAAAAAATATTCTAGATATGCAAGTATACTTCCCATAACTCTTCCTGAAACTATTACTTAAAAATGTATGCCAGTTAAAAAAAAAAACAACAGAATTAAATACTTCAAAAACAGGGAAGACATACTATTCAAGTAACAGTGACCTTATAGTTAAATCTAAGTGATACGATACTAGCAAAATTTTAAAAAATGGTTAGAAAAAAACAAACAAACAGAAGAACTACTGATATGGTTTGCATCTGTGTCTGCATCAAAATCTAACAGTGAAATGTAATCCCCAGTGCTGGAGGTGGGGCCTGGAAGGTGATTGGATCATGGGGGTGGTTTCTCATGGTTTAGCACTATGCCCCTAGTGGTGTTCTCATATGAGTTCTGAAGAGATCTTTTTGTTTCAAAGCATATAGCGCATCCCCCACTCTCTTCCTTCTGCTCCTGCCATGTAAGACCCTTGCTCCTGCTTTGCCTGCCACAATGATTGTAAATTTCCTGAGGCCTCGCAGAAGCCTAGCAGATGACAGCACCATGCTTCCTGTACAGCCTGTGGAACTGTGAGCCAATTAAACCTCTTTACTTTATAAATTACCCAGTCTCAGGTATTTCTTTATAGCAATGTGGGAACAGAATATTACAACTATAGAAAAGAAATCAAATCAATAAAACCAAGAATGTAAAGAAGGCAAGAGATCCAGGTCTCAACTTATTAATGGGAAGAATGAGGGCAAAAAAGAGTCAGTTATAGATGGTTTCAGAATTTCCAAACTTGCAGGAGAGGGGAAAAAATAGTTAATATGACTAGATTAAATTGTCCTATTAAGAGATAAACCCAATTTTGTACAAGGTAACCTTGTGATGGAACTGTTGTATATTCTGACTGTGGTAGTGTTCACAGGAATCTACATAAAATTACTTACAACTAAACAGGCACAGGGATGGGTACAAGTAAAACTGGTGAAATCTGAATAAGGTCTATAGATTGTATCAATGTCAATTTCCTGAGTATAATATTGTACTGTAGTTATGCAAGGTGTTACCATAGGTGGAAACTGGGTGAATGTACACAGGATCTAGATCTCTGTATTATTTCTTACAACTGTATATGAATCTACAATGATCTTTTTTAAAAGTTTTATAAAATGTAAAACAAAAAAAAAAAGGACAAAATTCCAGGCCGGGCACAGTGGCTCACACCTGTAACCCCAGCACGTTGGGAGGCCAAGGCGGGTGGATCACTTGAGCCCAGGAGTTTGAGACCAGCCTGGGCAACATGGTGAAGCCCCATCTCTACAAAAAACACAAAAATTAGCCAGGTATTGTGGCATGCACCTGCAGTCCAGGCTACTTGAGAGGCTGAGGCAGGAGGATCACTTAAGTCCAGGAGATGGAGGTTGCAGTGAGCCAAAATTACACATTACACCACTGCACTCCAGCATGGGTGACAGAGCAAGACTCTGTCTCAAAAAAAAAAAAAAAAAAAAAGAAGACAAACTTCCAAATTGGCAAGGGGGAAGATTTCAGGGAGAAATAAAAGTTCAGCTCAGTTACATGAATGTTTGATGTTTATGAAAGGCAAGTAAAGCAAAATGGTGTAAAATGACTGAAAATAAACATAATAAACATATGGACAAAAAAGACCTATCAGGTACACACAAAACTGACAGAGAGGCAAAAGTCATATAAGACAATGTAGACTCCCAGCCAAAAAATCACTAAACAGGGCAAAAAAGATACTTCATATTCTTTAAGATAAAATCCACTAAGAACAATTACACATATTATCTTTAAGGCTGAATTCAACCAAAATCATAATCACAGTAAACATCTAACATACTTTGCTTACTAATTTGTTGGCTTTGAGAAAAACAACAAATTAAGGATATAGTATCTTACAACAAATGTGTCAAATCAAATAACAGGGAAAGGACAGTTTATCAAAATAAATGTTTTAGGAAAATGTCCAGCAATTTGGAAAAATAAATTTGTAATAGTATGCCATAGCAACCATTTTTAAAAATCTATATCTATGATAACAGAATGTGTACAAAGAGTATTTTAATAATCTTCCGGTGGAAACCCAGAGGCCGTAAAGGAAAACAACAGCAGAACTGGCAACATAAATATTAAAGATTTTTATAAAGCAAAAGCCCCAAGAAACACTAAAGAATAGACTATGAGAAAATACTAGCAAATGGTGAACCAAATCATTAATAGCCACAATATGTAAAGAGCTATTACAAATCAATTAGAAAAGAGGAACATTTCAACAGAAACCTAAGCAAGGGATATGATCATGCAAGTAAAAACGAATACAAATGACCAACAAACATACAGATAGTCAACCTCATCAATAAGCAAAGAAATGCAATACTAAAACAATAAAATAGCATTTTTCATCCATAAAATTACTAAATATAAAAAATAATCATTTCATCTTAGCAGGCCTCTCAAGTTTCTGCATATCATATAAGTAGAGGCACTGACGGCCTTTATTTTTTATCTTTTCAGTGGTGTTTATATAGCAAATAGCCTTGGCAGATAAAGAGATGTCTCCCTCTGGTACAGAGGGCAGGTTTGTTTACCATGTGGGAAAATAAAGATAATGTCTCCCTCTCTGGCAAAGATCAGACAGCTTTATTTGCAGCCCACTATGAAAGATTCAGGTTCCCTAAACTAAGGACTCCTCTCCTGTAACATAACCTACTTCATCTGCTAGTGTCACTGGGCTCTTATCACATCACCCTGTGGAAATCAGGGTTCCAGCAAATCAGCATAAGATGATCCTCTGGCTACCGTTCCTGTTGTGCTTTGTCTCTGAGTCAGGAGTCTCATATTTTCTGCCAGTTTCCATGAAACTGTTAGCTTGCAAGTAGGGTATGATCTCAGATCCTTGACAATTCTTGGCAATGTGATATGGCAAAAGCAATATTTTAACAAATTGTATAAATTTACTCTTACCAACAACTTTTGAGGAGCACTTTGGCAGAATCTCTCATAATTTAACACTTATGTGTAGCCTCTGACCTAGCAATTCCATATCTTAGGAAATGAACTAACATGCAAACATGACAGTATACAGAATAAACACAAAAATGATCCTTGCAGTTCTGTTTGTAATAAATTTGGAATAATGCCAACAGGGGACTGGCTAAATAACTTTTGGGTTATTCCTACAATGAAATACCAAAAGACTTACAAAAAAGACAAGATACTATTATATGCACTGACACAGAAGGATGTTTATCAATTATTATTAAGTGGAAGCTATAGAAAATTATAGATGGTACACTGCCATTTATGAAACAAAAGTAGACTTAAATATATTTATTTTTAAAATCTGCAAGCAGTGATCATCTTTATGGAACAAGGTTACTGGGTAGGTGGGCACACAGCACTTTCACTTCCTCCTTTAAGGATTTCTGTATTGCTTGATCTTTTTTAAAGAATGCATACATTTATTTCATGGGCTAATAAAGTTTTAAGTGTCCAGTGTAAAATTTATTATATTTTAGATATCCAGTTGTGATGGTAAAATACAAATGGATATGAGGATATCTTCCTCATATCCCAGGGAACACTTCTACAGCCATTTATCTCTTAGATAACCATTTTTCTCTTAGAAACCAGGTACAGAACATCCTAAATCACAGGTGATGGGGAGAGACACACTACAGTTACTATGACACGGTGCAAAGTCAAAAGGCATGCAGATTTTTAATCAGGCTGCTTCTCTATGTAACTGTAAGGAGCAACTCTAGTCGCAAGTTCTGAATGAGCAACAGAAGGGATTTATTTACTAACAGTTAATGATTCAACTGACCATGGAAAAAGCAAGCTAAAATAAATGAATCTCAATAACTGGCAGGAAAATTTTAAAGGGGGGAGGGAGGCAAGAGGTAAAGAAAGGGAATCAACTTGCCCCCACTAAATGTGTTCATTTCAAAAATATTTAGTGATGTCTACAATATGCCAGGCATCGTTCAAATCCCTAGATATTAAAACACATTATAAACCTAGAGCAATAAGAGCATCACAGAAGCCAGGATCACCACAGGGAGCCAAAGAATACTAGACCGTTCAGAAAGTCCCAAGAATACACGGGAATTTAGGGCCTATGGTATTTATAGGACTGATCAGCAGGGAAAAATAGAATTCCAACAAATGATGATGGAGTCACTAACAAAATTATAAAGTTAGAGCCTTCTTATCTCACATTAAATATAAATAAGATCATTAACAATACTAGAAGAAAACGGAGGTGGATATTTATATACAATTCATGTAGATAAAGGCCTTTTTTAAAGGACACTGTGTTAGATCCGCGAAGTTAAGATCGAGAATGTTAACCGCAGCAACATTAAGAGGATGAGACTAACACAGTAAAGAAAGAAGGGGCAGTTTTTGTTAACTGACCATATGTGCAAGTACCATATGTACCATTGTACAGAGTACTATAATCGCATTATTTCATCACGGCGTGAGTAAAGAAATTATCCATCTTACAATGAGTTGACTTATCTGATTTTCAAATAACAGAAGGGAAGAGTTTGAAAATGCAGAGTTCAGAAAAGCCAACTTTTGGCGCAGAAGTTTAAAACAAAGTTAGTACTCAGAACATAAGTATGGAAAGAAGAATCCAATTCAAGGAACTTTTAGAGTGCCTACTAAAGCATAATGCACATTTCCCTCAAGTCCTTAATCTGATAAAGGACTATTGGAGCGCTGATGACTCTGGATGAATCTCTCTCTACTCAACCAACAGATACAATATGCGGTACAGGATAATGGAGGCAGGAAGTGAGCCTGAAAGAAAAAAATATATACCTATAGCTGAACTTAAGAAACCAAGGAGTGCACGCAAGAACCAGAAAAGGCAGCTTGTGTCTGTGAACAGACCAAAGCAAGCAGAGATCCCTGCACCTGGTGGTAATGTGCCCTCCGGAGCACAAAGCCAGACGGGCATCCTGCCAACGCAACTACCTGACCACAGGCTTATACCATCTTCACCTTCTATAATAGTTATTTGTATACTGTATTTCAATCTGTGAATGCATCTCGAAGGTTTGTGGCAATGATTACTGGGAAATCAAGGAAATCCAAAACCACCCGTTATAAATATGTCGACAAGGAGGCCAAGTAGATGGTCATCATCACACTCTAGGGGCACCCCTAAACCTAAACACAGAAACAAGGTTGTAGCTGGGCACCCTGTAGCAGTCCTGAAGAAAGAAAACAGGCCTGGTTAGGCAAAAACCATCGGATGTCAGAGGGAAATCAAGGCAGCAGGCACAGGAATCACAAGCACAGGCGGGCATGTGGCCGACGCGTGGCTGCCGGCGCAGCACTGAGCGCGGGTGTGGGGCGACCCGCAGTCCCCCGCGGTGTAAACAACCCTGAGCCGCGCACACGTCCGAACGACGCCTCACAGCCTGCAGGCAGACTGTAGCGTAGAAAGAGCCCGAGGCACGTCAGCAGTTCTCAAGGGCCCCAGCAAGCCCCGCAAGCGTGAAGCGGAGGCGCGGGGGCGCGGGGCCGCGGGCGGGGAGGGGCGGGCAGCGGGGGCCTCTGCCAGGCGTCCAGACTCCCCAAAGCGCGGAGCTGCGCGCTGGCTCGGCCCCGGCCCCGCCCCGGCGCCAAAGGAAGAAGACAGAGACCCACGGGAGGGAGAAGTAAAGGAAGGGCCGTACCCTGCAGGGTCCGGGAGAGGCGCGCGCCGCGGGCTTCACCAGCGACCAGGCAGCGCGAGAAGGCCTGGGTGCGGGGGCGGCTCCCCGACTCTCTAGATGCGGCACAACCGCCGCAAGCCCGGCCTAGCGCGACCCGGAAGGAAGACGCGGAGGCCGCGAGGAGCGGCGGGCCCGGGGAGGCGGGGCGGAGCCGGGGAGGAGGGGCGGGGCCGCGGGGTTGGGGCGGGGCCGGGGAGGCGGGGCGGGGCCTGGAGGGAGGCGGGGCGGGGCCAGAAGCAAAGCCGGGCGTTTCTCCCATGGGAGGTGCTCTGGGTCCTACGGACAGCCCGCTCCCAGGCCAGGGGGAGGAGCTTTCTGCTGGCTTCCTAGCTCCAGTGGTGCCCGTGTAAAGGGCCTAGGTCATACACAGCGGGTAGTGTCTACAAATCCTCTTCGGAATAATCCCTTCCGAGTACCGGCTCGCCATGTGTAGTGTGGTCCTACAAGGACTTCTTCAGTCCAGACTTGGTGGATCAGATGATACATAGGTAATACGGCTGGTACGCATACGTAGAGGAAAAGTATAATATACATTATATGCACTCTGAAGGTATAATTCACCTAGTTTACAAACCTCCTCTTCCCTGCATACAAATCCTGCCTGCAGGCTCATTTCCATACCAACGTTCAGAAGCCTCTGACCATTACCTCTGATGAAGAAGATGGTCTGGCAGCCTCTCTTACTCATTTTGATTTATTTTTGGTAGATTCAGTATGGCACTTTATTTATTTATTTATGTATTTTTTGAGACGGAGTCTCGCTCTGTCGCCAGGCTGGAGTGCAGTGGCGCGATCTCGGCTCACTGCAACCTCCACCTCCCAGGTTCAAGCGATTCTCCTGCCTCAGCCTCCCGAGTAGCTGGGACTACAAGGGCGCCAAGCTAATATTTTGTATTTTTAGTAGAGACGGGGTTTCACCATATTGGCTAGGATGGTCTTGATCTCCTGACCTTGTGATCCACCTGCCTCAGCCTCCTAAAGTGCTGGGATTACAGCCGTGAGCCACCGCGCCCGCCCTTGGCACTTTTTTTAGTTTGCATCATATTTATCTTGTTACAAAATATCCACTAAGATGGAAAATATTTAATAAAATGTTGAACTACACATTATTTGCTGTCTGAATGCTCCAATGAGGCAAACCAGTAAGGATATTTACTTATATATGAACAGAATCAATATATGATATGCAATATACATTGTATACAAAAAAATTAAAATTTTTATTTTCTTCAACTTTTTGATGCATAATAGCTGTACATATTTTCAGGGTATATGTGATAATTTGATTCATTTCTGTAATCAAATCAGCATAACTGGGTTACTCATCCCCTTAAATATTTATCTTTTCTTTGTGCTAGGAACATTCAAATTGTTCTCTTCTGGCTATTTTGACATGTACTATTGATAAATGTTAGCTGTAGTCACCCTACTGATCTATGGAACACCGGGTCTTATTTCTTCTAAGTGTATGTTTCTTCTAAGTGTATGTTTACCTCCCCTTGCTCCCCCATGGCCCACCCCCCCAATACTTCTCAGTCTCTGAGATCCACTTTCTGAACTCCCACATATGAGTGAGAACATGCATTATTTGCCTTTCTGTGCTTGGCTTATTTCACTCATCATAATGACCTCCAGTTCTATCCATGTTTGTTGCAAATAAAAGGATTTTGTGGAGGGTTTTATGGCTGAATAATATTCTATTGTGTATATGTACCCCATTTTCTTTATCCATTCATCTGTTGCGCGGACACTTAGGTCAATTCTAAATCTTGGCTATTGTAAATAGTGCTGCAATAAACATAGAAGTGCAGATATCTCTTTGATATATGTATTTCCTTTCTGTTGGATCTATACCCAATAGTAGAATTGCTGAATCATATAGTAGTTCTATTTTTAGTTTTTTGAAGAATCTTCAAACAGTTTTTCACAGTGGCTCTAGTAATATTCATTCCTGCCAACAGTGCACACGGGTTCCCCTTTCTCCACATTCTCACCAGTATCTTTTGTTCCTGGCTTTTTTTTTTTTTTTTTTTTTTTGATAAAAGCCATTCTCACTGGGGTGAGATATCTCATTGTTTTGATTTGCATTTATCTGATGATTAGTGATAAGGAGCATTTTTTCATATACCAGTTGGCCATTTGTATGTCTTCTTTTGAGAAATGCCTGTTCAGATCTTCTGCCCATTTTTTAATTGGATTATTTGTTTTTGTTTTTGTTTTTGTTTTTGCTTTCCTATTGAGTTGTTTGAGCTCCTTATATAAAATATTCTGGTTATTAATCCCTTGTTAAATAAATAGTTTGCAAATATTTTCTCCCATTCTGTGGGTTGTCTCTTCACTTGATTGTTTCCTTTGCTATGCAGAAGCTTTTAAGCTTGATGTTATCCCATTTGTCTATTTTCACTTTTGTTGCCTATGTGTTTCAGATCTTAACCAAAAAGATAAGATCTTGCCCAGACTTATGTCATGGAGACTTTTCCCTATGCTTTCTTCTAGAAGTTTCATAGTTTTGGGTCTTAAATTTAAGCCTTTAATCCATTTTGACTTGACTTTTCTATATGGTGAGAGATAAGGTTCTAATTTCATTTTTCTGCGTGTGGACATTAGTTTTTGCCAACACTGTTGAACAGACTGTCCTTTCTCCATTGTGTGTTCTTGGCACCTTTTGTAAAAAAAGCAATTGACCATAGATGTGTGGCTTTATTTCTGGCCTCTATATTCTGTTCCATTAGTTAATGTGTCTGTTTTTATGCCACTACCATGCTGTTTCGATTGCTATAGCTTTGTAATATATTTTGAAGTGACGTATTGTGATGACTTCAGCTTTATTCTTTTTGCTCAACATTGTTTTCTCTATCCAGGATTTTCTGTGGTTCCATACAAATTTTAGGATTTTTTTTTCTATTTCTGGGAAGAACATCATTGATATATTGTTAGAGACTGCATTGAATATGTAGATTGCTTTGGGTAGGTATGGACATTTTAACTATTCCTCCAATCCATAAACACAGAATATCTTTCCATTTTTTGCATCTTCTCTAATTTCTTTCATCAAGGTTTTATAGTTTGAGTGTACAGATCTTTCACCTCCTTGGTTAAATTTATTCCTAAGTATTTTATTTTATGGGTTGTTTTTGTAGTCATTGTAAGTGGAATTGTTTTCTTGATGTCTTTTTCAAATAGTGTGCTTTCTGTGTATAGAAATGCTACTGATTTTTGTATGTTGATTTTACATCCTGCAAACTTACTAAATTTATTATAACAGTTTTTTTTAGTAAAGTCTTTAGGTTTTTCTATATATATAAGGTCATATCATCTGCAAACAAGGACCGTTTAACTTCTATACAATTTAGATGCCTTATTTTTTTCTTACCTAACTGCTCTAGCTAGGATTGCCAGTACTATGTTGAATAGAAGTGAGAAAGCGGGCATCCTTGTCTTGTTCTGGTTCTTAGAGGAAAAGCATTCAACTTTTGTCTATTCAGTGTATTAGCTGTTGGGGACTTGTCATATATGGCCTTTATTGTACTGAAGTACATTCCTTTTATACCTAATTCATTGAGCTTTTATCAGAGAAAAATAACGAATTGTGTCAAATGTTTTTCTGTATCTATTGAAATGATCAATGTGGTTTTTGTCCTTCATTCTGTTAAAGTGATGTATCACATTTATTAATTTGCTTTATGTTGAATCATTCTTGCATGTCTGCTATGAATCCTTCTTGACCATCGTTAGTGATCTCTTTTGTTGAAGATTTTTGCATTTATATTCATCAGGGATACTGGCCTATAAGCTTTGTTTTTTTGTTGTGTCCTTGCCTGATTTTGCTATCAGGGTAATGCCTGCCCCATAGAATGACCTTGGCAGTATTTCCCCCTCTTCAGTTTTTTGGAAGAGTTTGAGAAGAATTGCAATTTGTTATTTAAATGTTTGGTAGAAGTAAAGCCATCATGTCCTGGGCTTTTCTTTAATAGGAGACCTTTTATACTAATTCAATCTGCCACTTGTTACTGATTTGTTCACATTTTCTATAGCTTCATGATTCAGTATTGGTAGGTTGTATGTGTCCAGAAATTTATCCATTTCTTCTGGGTTACCAAATTTGTTGGCATATCATTGTTCCTAATAGTTTCTTATGATCTTTATATTCCTCTGGTATCAGTTGTAATGTCTCCTTTTTTATCTCTGATTTTGTTTATTTGGGTCATTTCTCATTTTTTCTTAGTCTGGCTAATGGTTTGTCGATTTTACTTATCTTTTCAAAAAATCTAATATGATATTTTGAATGAAATCCTGGAACAGAAAAAGGACGTTAGTAGAAAAACTAGTGAAATTAGAATGAAGAGTAGAATTTATTTAATAATAACACACCAGTGCTGATTTCTTAGTTGTAATAAACATACTATTGTAACATGAGCTCTTAACAATAAGGGGAAACTAGATGAGTGATGTATGGAACTCTCTGTATTGTCATTGCAATTCTTCTGTAAATGTCAGTCTATTCACTGCAACTTTTCTGTAAATCTAAATCTATTGTAAAATTAAAACTGGATTAAAAAATAATATAATAAGTAAATAAGACTGATCTGTTTATGGTTGCTGGTGAGACTTCATTGATTTGATAAGCATCAACTCAATGCTCAAATTCAGTCTAACAGTGGTTTCTTAATCCTAGATAACTTCTAAATAAGTTTTTATTTAAGTATAAAGTATATTCAGAAAAGAATGCAAAAGATGAGTGTACATACCCTTGTATTCACCATTCAGACAAAAAAGTAGATAATCACCAGTACTCAGAAACCTCCCAGATTCTCTCCTAAATCTCTTCTCCTTACTCCTGCCCAAAGGTAACCTGAATTCTAACACCAGAGATTAATTTTCCTAAGTTTTGTCCTTTAGGTAGATGGGATCATACATTACACACTCTTTTGAGTCTGGCTTCTTTCTCACAACATTAGCTTTGTGAGGGTTATTCATGTTGTCAAGTGTAGTGATAGTTTCTTGAGTTTCTATTACATAAATATACCATAATTTATTTATCTATTCTACTCTTGATAGACATTGAGCTGTTTTTAGTTTTGATTATTGTAAGCAATGCTGCTATTAACATTCTTGTTCTTATCTTTTGGGTGCCTATCTGTTGCATTTCCCTCCATACATTTTCATCTCTTTAATGTTTAAGAGATGTGGAAGTTGGTGCTATTATTTATTTAGTTTTTTTGCTTAGCTTTGTTTGTAATGGCACTTTAAGTACTGCTTAGAAATAAAAAGTTCTTATTTAAAGAAAGGAAAAGCCTAGGGGAATGTTAGATTTCTGTGACTAGATAGAATTTTGGTCATCATTGTTCAATCTACCCTTCCTCCAACCTTTACATCTCAAGGGCCATGTTGTTGCCATGCTTTGTTTGCTGGGCAGGAGAGCCAAGTGAGGCCAAAAAAAAAAAAAAAAGGGTGATGCTTATCAGTTAGTGATGGCCCTGATTTAATGGGTGAACTAATGCCTCGTTATTAAATGGAATGTTGTTTGGAAATGAATAGCATCCCACGCTGTAACAGCACTATCACAAATAAAGAAAGTCCCAACAAGGCTTAATTGTGCATAAAGTCACCAACTCAGCAAGCTAGTTATGATCTATTCTATGTGAGCTTCAAAAGTTGCAATGTTCTACTCAGATGGGGAGGCGGGCAAAAAAAGCAGCAGGTTCAAAACTCTTCTTTGTCCCTAACTCTTGAAACACTCACCATCATCCCCTTTACTATTTTCAAGTAATTTTTCTTTATCTTAAAATAAAATGTCTACCAATTATTAACTTTCAGGATTGTAAGTATGCATGACAATGTCAGAGGGCAGAGAATCAGAACATTGCAGAGGGCCAAAAATGTCTTCACAGTAAGTCCCTTTGGTTTTCTATCATTGATTTCTAAGAAAGTTCTTCTCTCAAGTCAAGGCCTTTCAGAAAATGCAACTCCATATATTTTCTACATAACTCCACTAAAATAATTTATCCTTCTGTGAAATCTTAGGTTAACTAGTTTGCTGGAAAGTAGAGTTCAGTCAATCATATTAGTTCAAGATTTTTAATATCCCAGTGGCCAAAGAGCATGAATAGTAGCCAGTAGGACTAATTTTGTAGTCTACTTTTTTCTTTAACCTCTTATCGTCCATAAAAAGGTTCCACTTAATATTTATTAATCTAGAAATAGTCACTGTTTTTAAAAAGAAAACCATAATTTTATTGTATTTACTTATTTATTTTATTTTGTTATTTATTTAATTTTTGAATTTACTTATTTATTTATTTTTTGAGATGAAGGCTTACTCTGTCGCCCAGGCTGGAGTGCAATGGCATGATCTCAGCTTACTGCAACCTCCACCTCCCAGGTTCCAGTGATTCTCCTGTCTCAGCCTCCCGAGTAGCTGGGGTTATAGGCGTGTACCACCACACTCAGCTAATTATTTGTATTTTTAGTAGAGACAGGGTTTCACCACGTTGGCCAGGCTGGTCTCTGCCTCTGCCTCTCAAAGTCTGGGAATTACAGGCATGAGCCACCACGCCCAACCTATTTATTTATTTATTTTTGAGACAGAGTCTCGCTCTGTTGCCCAGGCTGGAGTGCAGTGGCGTGATCTCAGCTCACTGCAGCCTCTGCCTCCTGGGTTCAAGCGATTCTCATCCCTCAGCCTCCCGTGTAGCTGGGATTACAGCCGTGCACTACCACACTTCACTAATTTTTGTTTTTTCAGTAGAGACGGGGTTTCACCATGTTGGCCAGGCAGGTTTCAAACTCCTGGCCTCAAGTAATCTGCCTGCTTGGGCCTCCCAAAGTGCTGGGGTTACAGGGGTGAGCCACCACTCCCGGCCCAAAAACTAGAATTTCAAAGAAGAAGCCCAAATCCATGGAGTCCAAATTCTTTTTATTATAGATGAGGAAACTGAGGCTTGGAGAGACAAAATGAATTCCCCAAATCAGAGTGACAGAGCTGTCAATGAAATCTAGTTCTGTGACTTTAAATCCAGAAATTTGGGTTTTTTTAATGATGTCATATTTCTTTACACTTCAATAAACTTAACTAAATATGCTCCCATATTACCATAACCTTGAAGTAGCTGAATATAATAGAAGGAAAAATTGAGCTTGGAAGTAGGAAGACCTGCTATCCAGCTCTGCCATTTTAGTAGTTCTGTGATCCTAGATAAGTTGCAACTTCTCTGAGTTTTCTTGCTTTTATGAAACGTTCCTAACTCACAGGTACTGGAGAGATTTAAAAGAGATCATATATATGAAAGTACTTTGTGAGCTACAAGGTAGTATGCAAATGTGTGAATTTTATTAATATTTATTAAAACATGTGGAAGATCAGTAATTGAGCCTTTCCAACACAAAATGTCAGAATAGAACCTT
Source organism: Homo sapiens (assembly GCF_000001405.40). Taxonomy (NCBI): domain Eukaryota; kingdom Metazoa; phylum Chordata; class Mammalia; order Primates; family Hominidae; genus Homo; species Homo sapiens. The sequence goes on from NC_000006.12 coordinate 98,955,249, forward strand.
CAAGTTCATTCTAGTCTAACCCTTTTAATTGTCACCGGAAGAAAGAAAAGCCTAGAAAGACTGGATGACTTACCCAAAGATTTGTGACAAGTTGCTTGCAAAGTGAAGACTTGAATGTAGGTCTCTTAACTTGCAGCTTACACTGAACAATTTCTAATATCCTTAATAAGTGAATACCAATTACAAGATTATTTAAAATAATATGATAAAACTTAAAACTGACTTTACACAGGCCTACAAGCAATATCTTGAAATATATTTAAAAAACAAAAGCCTTTCTAATTTGTTCTGTTTATGCTGTTTTGATTTGATTTGTCCCTTTTTCTGTAGCCTGGGTTATATACTCAAAAACTTAGCATTAATCAAGATTGTCAGTGGTCAGGAGTAATGCAGGAGAAATACTACCTAGAGACAAAGGACCAAAGAGCCCTCTTCCTGAGGTAACTTTACACCTACCAACAGCTAGGAAAACGAAGCTTATGGCCAGGGCCTTGGGTAAGCTCAACTGAGGCTACAATTCCTTTCCTCCCTACTTTTTCCTTTTTTAAGTGGAGTTGCTTTTGAAAGAGCTCCTGTGTATCTGTATTAGGCAGGTGCCTGTGGTCTGTTCATAGGGTGACGTGGTAATCTATAGAAAAACAAGGATTTTCTGTCCATACAGGTAACTCAAAAGCGACAAGTGATTATCTGAGAGTTTCAACATGAATGTTCCATATAATTCAAGGTCTTCAATGTCTTGCAATTATTTTGTCCTCTGTGGAAGACTTGAGGGGGCTGGATTATCCAGATAAACTCTGGATTTTTTATATACATGGATTTTTTATATACATTTTATACATGCCCTTGCACAACTGTTAATGTTCCTTCCCCATGTTAACACAAACTGTGAATTTAAAACAAAAAATGGAAGATAATGCTTTCCTGGGTTACCCATCTCCTTTGAAACATACAAAAGTGAATCCTGTTCTTGTTATTGAGCCATAAATATATTTCCCCTTATGCTTAATATTTAAGTAATATAATGTACATAGTAAATACAAATGACTCAAGAATAATTTGTGTATTTCAAAATTAAATAATTATAATAATTAATGAGACTGTATTATAAAGTTTTCCCCAAACCCAGTACCCTTCAATAATGCATTTCCTTCATCTGGCAGCCCTATATCTCTCCTGAATAATTTGTGAAAGGAAAAAGGTAATCTGATAAGAGGCTCCCTAAAAGCGCATCTTTAAATATCATCCTTTGTGATACTATAACTGTTAAGGGGTTTCTTGGTCAGATTTTTCAGTGCCTTGTTGGGAAAAATTCCTCTGTTTCAAAGTCATTTAAAAAGAAATAAAGAAAATGATTTTTAAAATATGCTTTCCCTTCTTTTCTTCTGGTTATACATTGGTAGAAGGTCTCTAGAATTTTGAGGTGCAAATGCCTTTGCCTCTTTAATGTGCTGATCAAAAATGTGACCAAGCATTAGAGAAATGCAAATCAAAACCACAATGAGATGCCATCTCATGCCAATTAGAACGGCGATCATTAAAAAGTCAAGAAACAACAGATGCTGGAGAGGGTGTGGAGAAATAGGAACACTTTTATGCTGTTGGTGGGAGTGTAAATTAGTTCAACCATTGTGGAAGACAGTGTGGCGATTCCTCAAGGATCTAGAACCAGAAATACCATTTGACCCAGCAATCCCATTACTGGGTACATAACCAAAGGATTATAAATCATTCTACTATAAAGACACATGCACAAGTATGTTTATTGCAGCACTATTCACAATAGCAAAGACTTGGAACCAACCCAAATGCCCATCAATGATAGACTGGATAAAGAAAATGTGGCACATATACACAATGGAATACTATGCAGCCATAAAAAGGATGAGTTCATGTCTTTTGCAGGGACATGGATGAAGCTGGAAACCATCATTCTCAGCAAACTGACACAGGAACAGAAAACCAAACACCACATGTTCTCATCCATAAGTGGGAGTTGAACAATAAGAACACCTAGACACAGGGAGGGGAACATCATACACTGGGGCCTGTCAGGGGGTGGGGGTGTTGGTAGGGATGGCATTAGGAGAAATAGCTAATGTAAATGACAGGCTGATGGTTGCAGCAAACCACCATGGCACATGTATACCTATGTAACAAACCTGCACGTTCTGCACATGTATCCCAGAACTTCAAGCATAATAATAAAAAAAATGTAACCAAGGATAAATAAAGCTCCTTATTATACATCATTCTCTTACTATTTTTTTCTTGCTTATCATTTCAGCCTTTAATGGTAAGAAATTTGATTGCTTTAGAGTAGCGGTCTTTTCCTCCAAAACAGATGACTCACAAAGCAAGCCACTAGGATTACAAGAGGATGATAATCCAGGAAGGGCTGCAGGCAGCATTTTTCCTTCCGCCTGGCTCCTGGCCTCTTGCCCTTTGAGAATGCCTGTGGCTGCCAGGGCAGTATAAACAAATTGGAGCTGGATCAGACAAGATTTAACGATGATCAGTGTGATAAATTCATTATGGAACCAAGCACTTTATTTACTATTTACTAAGTAGATTGCTATTCATATAGTGTTGGACCATTTTATAGGATGAGAGGTCTTGAACTAATTTCATATTTGTATGTTCTATTTCCCTAAAAATGAATATTCTTCCATAGCCATTAGTGCAGCTAGAAGGGAATCCTAATGCAATTACTTAAAAAAAAAAAAACCTCTTTAGGGGACTAACACAAGTATTTGAAACTCAGAAGAGTAGAGTTTTGAGCTACTTTCTTTGAAGGTAGCATTTTGATGGTAGGAGAGGCCATTTTTTGACAATAACAGTATTAGTATTTTATTCACTCACTAATAAGAATTTATGTTTACTTAAACTAAAAGTTAGATCTTACATATAAATTGTGTTTGGTATGATATTCTATTCCAATTTGTCTGTGCCTCCAACTGCTATCATAAGTATCTAAGCAGGCATTCTTTTACATAAAATGCCTGATAAATACCATTTGCAGTAAAAGTAATAAAAGTCCTATAGGCCACTGCTTCTCAAACTTTAATGTGCTTATGAATCTTCTGGAGATCATGTTAAAATGCAGATTCTGATTCTGGGTGGGGCCTGAGTTCTGAATTAATAACAAGCTCCCAGGTGATAACAGATGTCACTGAACCCAGAACTACCCCCTGAGTAGAAAGTTGTAGGCCATTCCACTTGCAGAATATTTTATCTGAACTACGAAGACTGACCATGAACAGGTACTAAAATTACAAAGCAATGCCTTAACTTTAGCTGGAGACATGGGCAAAGCAAATGGATAGAATCTTGTTAAATATCTGTGTTGACTCATTTGGACAGTTTTTGGATTTCCTTGGGAATGGAGAGAGGTATTCCATATTGTATTTCCATTTTACTGTAAAGGCAGGTGCAAGATAAAAACCTAGGAGGTGATGGCACAAGTGGGCATTCCTTTCATTTCAGAAGACTAAATACCTGGCCCTTCTTGCAAGCAATTGAGCAACCCAGTAACCAATATCAGCAGAATTTGGGAGACAGAATTTTGGCATTACCAAGAATACATGAGCTTCATCAGTTTAACTTTCTATATGTAAAAATTCTAAACCAGTAACGTCACGTCTCCAGCTGCTGTTGCATTTTGGCCTGCCTTTGTTTTCACCAAGTGTGAGTGCAGCACAATGCCACAGAAATGAGGGCATAAGAAAAACATCAGATTTATTATTCATAGCAACAGCTCCAAGTCCAGACAGCTCCAAAGTAAATCTGAGCAAGGACTTGCTGTGACTTTGTGACCAAATACTTAATGTTCTCATATCATTAGTGCGCTCTGGCACTTTATCAAATCTGTAATATTGACTAACTACCAGTAATTGCTGATTTATGGGCAAAGTTTTCTCAGTCTTGTTTTCTTCAGGACTCTAACAGACCTTCATCTTCTGAAAACACGTTGAATCAGTAAGTTCACGTTCTCTTTGAGCTTTGCTGTTTTTATATCTAAAAAGATGATGTCTTGCTCTTTTACCTGTTGCTGTCAACACTTTACTTGCCTTAAGTTATCGGTTTGAAAAAAACAGCCACACGTCTGCGCATTCACAGAAGGCAATTAATGAGAATATGGCATGTGGGGAATAAATTTTATTGTTCTATAATTTTCAAAAGCTCTTTACTTAAGTGCAATAAAATAATGATACAACTAAGAATGATTTCTAAAGAGCATCTAGTCCTTGGTGACAAATAGGTTTCACTTCCAGTGCCATACAATAGAGAAATGTAAGTAGATGTGCCTTTCATTTTCTAATCAAGATCTAATACCAACCACACTTCTATTCCATGTTCTTCTTTCCTTTTTTCTTTTCTTTTCTTTCCTTTTCCCCATTATCTGGCACCCTCTATGTAAGATAAAAGTATCAACCAGGCACCAGAATTAAATCTGAGGAAGGATTATACCAAGAGCCTAGGACAACTCTACCAACTTCACCTTACCTTCAAACTTCTCCTACCTCTTGTTTTATCATTAACCAGCACCAGGGACTCCCCAGAACACATCCATGGCAACTGTTGTTCTCCAGCATATTAAAAGGGACACGTATTGCCTTGGGTGCTTTGTAACTCATTCCACACTCATGAATGACCACATTATAGCAAACTTAAACCATACTATAGAATGTTTGTTGCCAATCCACAGCTCACAATAGTGGGACACATAGCTATGTCTCAGGTTCTCATCTATACCCTTTTCCAGGAAAAATCCTGTCAGATGTCTCCTCCATCACTTTTCACCCTTCATTAGCATTAGGAGGGAAGCAGAGGTTGGTGACAACATCATCTGGGACCTTACAATAACTTGGAACTGTCCAAGCATAGAAATATATGTTTTCCAACTTATTTCTGGATTCAGGAGAGTGTTAATTGCAGCCAAGATGTCTAGAGCTGATTTAGGTCTCTCTCTAGCAGTGTGACCTTGGCTGAATTACTTCACCTTCTAGATATTTTGTCAAGTGTGGATAATGGTATCTGCTCTTAAATGTAGTTAATCAAAGAAAATGTGCAAAAGAACTATGCTCTCTCCACAGGAAAAGTTCTAGTCTATATCAAACAAGAGATTATTAAGACACTGATATTTTCAAGCTGAGTTAAGGGTAATAGAATTTTCCACAGTAAATGTACATGTTTGATGATTCTGTTATTGGTGGGCTGATTCTTGATATGTTGATGAAGACCAATGTATAGTTTTCTTGATTAACCCGTGGCTTGGGACTTGTTACTTCAAGCACCAATCAAGGTTCAGATTTTTTAAAGCATTTCATCCAATATATCAATTAATCATCTTAGGAATTAGTGTAAAATTAACACATATCTCTGTTTATGGAAAGAGATGGTTACGTTAGTTGGAATGCTGCAACTGAAAAAAAATCTCAAATATCAAATAATTGATATTAATATAATTGAATGGAAGATGTATATTATATTGTTAGTGAGATATAATTCATAAATGTGTACTTGTTCTAAATAACTATTTTATGTGGTTTATCTCACTTCCAAAATAGACACTATTCCATATATCTAGCAAATATTTTGAGATAGCAAAATGCTAATACATTTTTAAAATTAAAGTAGGAGCTATAGTAAAGTATTGAAATTTCTTTCTTGCTCTTTATTATAATATTTGCTATCACTTTTGATGTTCAAATTTTCACATTTAGCTGCTATAAGGGTTTATTAATTTGTAATCAGACCTGAATAATTAGTATAAACTTCCAGTTACTATCCAGATTTAACACTAGATGTGTGTCTTAACTTGTCATCACTCAAATTCCTTGGTTTTTCCCAGGTAGGCCCTTCAGACCCTTCTCAAATTTATACACAAAGTTAAGTCCAAATACTGGGAACAATACTTTATAGAAATGCTGAAGGAAATGACATATCAATGTATATTGCATGAAATATACATGTGCACGCGCACACACACACACACACACACACACACATATACATGAACACACACCCCTAGTCTCAAGTCAAGGCCTCTCATCAGCTTAAAATACCTAAAGCTTATCATAATATATAACATATAAAACTTATTATAATATTATAACCTAATTATAATATTTTACCATTCCTTTTCAGTTAGAAATTTAACTCAAATTTAACTCAACAAATTTGTTTTGATGATTTATTATGTGAAAGGCACTATGCTAAATGTTGTAGGAGAAATAAAGACTAACAAGGACCTCACTATCAAGCCAAGGACATAATCCATGTGTACAAATAACCCACAAGAAGAGGGTTTAAAAGTATCATGAATAAAATTCCATGGGAGCATAAAATAAGACAAGATTGCCACTAGGACCAGCTTTTTAAAGCAGTTGGCATATTGAACTGAGCTTAAAAAAATAGGTACAATTTCTAGAATTTCCCAACAAAGACAGTTGCATGAGCAAAAGCCTTCAGGTGTGCTGTGGTTTGAATTTTTGTCCCCTCCAAAACTCATGTTGAAATTTAATTGCCATTGTAACAGTATTAAGAGGTGGGACTTTTAAGAGGTGATTAGGCCATGAGGACTCCACCCTTATGGATGAGATTGGTGCCGTTATCACAGGATGACTTCAGTCCTCTCTTGGCCCTTCTTCCTTCCACCATGAGATGACACAGCAAGAAGGCCCTCCCCAGATGCTAGCACCTTGATATTGGACTTCTCAGCCTCCAGAGCTGTCAGCCAATAAATTTCTCTTCGTTATAAATTACCCAGTCTTAGGTATTCTATTGTAGCAGCAAAAAACAGACTAAGACAAAGGGAGAAAAAGGCTGGAGTATTTTGGGATTGGTGATTAGAGAGGGATTATGGAAAAAACAGTAAAGCATCTCCTTCCTCAAAGTGTTCTATCTAGAATTTCACCTGCTTTCATCAAGACTGTGAAAATACTTTTTGAGTACAGATTGGTATGTGAAGAAATTCTAAATCAGAAAGTGATTTTCTAAGGAGCACATACACAATAATTTTAATTCTTTAAATTGCCCAGGACAACTGAGGATTGCATTCACTAACATTATAAACATTCACTGAGAGTCTACAGAGTACTCAAAAAAATGGTAAAGCGAGTCATCTGGTAATGCTATATTGGTAACCATCTGACAAGCTCAGTATACAGAGAAGATGTCTGGGAAGGCATAAGAGGTCACTGGGGTAAGAGTCTCTCAGCTGAGAATGCAAGTGCAGGCACTAGGCATTACTTTGTACTCCAGTTGAAACCCACTAGGGAGGCGGAGTGGCAGTTTTAGATTAAAAAAAAAATTGAGAAAATAATCCTAAAATGGAGGGGTCTCTCTGAATTACCTTAAGTAATTGAATTGTTACCATAATTCATTCAATTATTCAGGCCATGGGTGATCTGTAAACCAAACTAAATGTTTCTTCTCCCCTTACTCCTCACATTCAACTGGTCTCTAAGTCTTGCCCTTTTGCCTTTTAAATATTACTTGGATCTGACCCTTCTGACCTCTAACTTATTTCCCTTCTGTTATAACTGGTTTCCCTGCCTTCATGCTTTCTTCCTTCTAATCTATGCCTCACATTGCTGTCAGAGTTGTATTTATGAAGTGCAAAATGGATTGGTGCAAAAGTAATTGCGGTTCTTGCAATTAAAAGCAATTGCAAACCCATGATTCCTTTTGCACCAACCTAACACACAAATGGTTAAAACTCTTCAATAGCCTCCCACGATCTACAAGATCTGGCCTTGAATTCTATATATGGTACAAAATATCCATGACACATTGTTCTCCGCTCCCTGCCTCTGTCTCTAGATTCACCTCTACCTTGTCATCCTGTGATCAGCTATATAGAATTATCATGAAAATAAACCCATCCTCCGGAATTTATCCTTCAATAACTTTGTGCAATAGAAATTTTCAAGGCAGATCTTCACTGGATTAACGAACAGTACCTCTGTGTGCCTCAAGGTATTTTTCAAGCAAAAGAAAACAAGTTAAAAAAAAAAAAACCTCAATCCAAACCTTCTAAATTCATTTTGAAAAAGCTTACCTAGTGTAATTCCACAGAGAAAAATCCTTCAAATGGAGTATTTGAAATATTTGAAATCTATATTTTATTCTAAATGTTTGCTTTATGTATTTATAAATATTTGCTTCTAGTTAACAAGTCTATTTTGTACTTTCCTTGCATTTGCTTCTGTGATTAACATTGGTATTTTTATAGTATGAAGAGAACCAGAACTCTAATTTGTAAGATTGTATAAACAGGATAAAAAGAATTTGCCTAAGCATGACTTGACTTCTAACTATTGTACAAGAACCAATTGTGCTGTCAGAAGTGCCCTATACACAAACTTAGAAATGAAAAGGGAACCAAGAGACTATTAAAAGAACTCCAAGAAAGTACTTTGCACAACTCTATATTAATAAAATCTTAAAGAAATGAACAGTAGTCTAAGAAAATAAATTACCAAAATTGGCCCTTGAAGAGGTAGAAAACCTAAATAAATCAATTTTCATGGAAAAAATAAAGTTGTCACAGAACTACTCCTCAAAAATGTGCAGGACCCAGATGGTTTTACAGATGAATTATTTCAAACTTTCCAGGAACAAATTGTTTCTATGCTATATAAACTGGTCCAGAACATAGATAAAGAAAGAAACTGTCTCTATTCTTTATATGAAGTCAGCATCCATCTAACAAAGAAAGCACAAACTTCAGAACAATCGCCCTTAAAAGAACTGACTCAAAACTCCTAAACAAAAGGTACACTTAATTACTTTAAATATTTTTAAATGTTAGGGAATGACCTAGTAAATTAATTTCAGAAATGCAAGGTTAATTTGACAGTAGAAAATTTATTAATAGATCAAAAGAGAAAAATCATATCATCATCCTGTGATACAAAAAGGTCATTTGTTTTGATAAATTTGAACTAGGAAGATGCATGCATATTCCATGTTTGCCATAACTATCATCTACTTTTAAAATGGGTATGAAGTGGTTAAACAATAAAACCCTGAGACTCCACAAAGCATCATAAACTCCAAACATTCTGTACAGTGGAGGAATTTGTTTTGGTCTAATTCTATCTATTCCTTTCTCTCAGAAATGGAGAATGGGTTGCAAAGTGCTTCCCACAGCACTGCCCTGGAGCAGAGAGGGTATAGAGTACAGGGAGACAAAGTAGGGAGCAGAAAACACTGCACAGATATAAAAACCCCACTCCTAGGAAAACAAGCAGCTACAGCAGGCATTTTGCTGAACGTGTTGTCAGGGAGAAATACAGCTGATAAAGAAGCAAATACTGATAGAAAGGCTTCCCATGCTCTGGAACTGACAATAACAGCTCTGGTATGAAGCCGTGATCTGTAACACACAGACTATAGAGAACCTGAACAGCGTGGAACACAGAAAAAAAATTCAATAAGCCAGCTCGATACAAGAAGAGTAGCCAACTAGAACAGGACAGAAACCATTACCTTAGCTACACCTGGAACCATACTGGGTATGCACTGTAGATTTGAATATTTATTGATAGTTAAGTTCATTGTACAACCTGTAGGGTAGGAAGGAGGAGTGTGCTTGCCATATTACAAAAGTCCATGAAGACTTAAGAGCCTGCAGGATGTTCAGCCACTTTTTAAGGAGAGTCTACTAAACTGTGTTTTATCCCCCCTCAAAAGCTGGCATGAGATATGCCTCCAGCTTCAAGCAAAACAACTCTGCCACTTTAGCAACTGCAGATTGGAGAAGAGTTTGATATAGGAACCAAAGGCAACCTAATGGTTGAGCCAAACTTTGTTTAAATGGAGCATTCTTTTTTGACTGGTGGTAAATCCACACAATCGTTTCTTATGAGAACAAAGATGTCGTGAGCAAGGGTGAGCTGCAGTTCTGCTTACTGAGAGAGCAAGCCCAGATTTGAAATATAATAAGGATATGCTCTTCATTATCATTACTATACACCTCCACAGATGTACGCCTTCCCTCCCACTGCCCTTTTTAGCTTCTCCTGGTACTTTCTCTACCCATCCTTGCTCTTAGAGGAAAACAGGTACAACATCTACATGGATTCTCTTTAAAAAATAAAAAAGTCAAAGCAGAAGAAAGAACAATAATCCCTAGATAGTTGTGAGTGGCACGAGAATGTGTCACGTAAAGGTAGCATGGAATAAACAGATAACTGAGAGAGTAAGATAATGGATGGTGAAGGTTCAGGATCAGAGAGAGAGAGAGAGAGAGAACAAGAGAGAGAGACAGAGAGAGAGACACAGAGAGAGAGAGACAGAGATCTTGAATAAAAGACTGATAAGCTCCTAGGAATTTCAGGCTAAACAGTAGAAGAGGAGGATGATATAAGATGAGTTCCTGTGTACTAAGTATCTCACCCCTCAAATTTTGAGACAGACTCAAATAAAGATCAGAATTCTTGACTGGACCACATATATCAAAATGCAACATGTATGTAAATGTTTATGGATGTTTCCATTAGGTTCTGAGAGCATTGAGCGTTGGGATATAATAACAATAGCACAATTCTAGTCCCAGTCTTCCTGCTGTAGACCTGGCTCTGACATTGATAGATCTTGGGCAAGTTACTCACTTCTCTGACCTTCAGTTTATTCATTTGTAAAATGACCAGTCTCAGCTAGATGATAAGTGCAGAATTGCAGTCCCTTACTGCTCTAAAATCCATATTACATTGATAGTAGAATACCTTTGTGATGCTGATATGAGGAGCTGGATTTACTAATAGGAAGTGCTCTGGCCAGATTTTATTATTTGAAGTAATGCATCATGGATATAGCCAGATATGGGCAATAATAGGATAGATACAAATATGGTTTTGTTGTACCCTCTTCTCCTAACCAATATTTCAAGCTTAAATAAAAATATAACTAATGAATGAAAAAATAGTGAATTTAATTTCTATGACTTTGAAATATATATTGTAGCCAGTTTTAAGGGATAGTATGGAAAACATATACACACACATACATACACACACATATGTCCTGAATTTGTTGCCTCAAAAACAGAACTCTAGGTAAGCATTCACACAGGTCTCCTCCAGTCACTCCAGAGGCACTGATGGCTCTCCACCATTCACAATTCAGAAAGGGCTGACTTAACTCATTTTGCCATTCCACACCAAAAGAGGGAGATAGATTCAAATGTGTACAGAATTTTTAAAAATAATTTTCCTTTCCGTAGTTTCTCTTATGATCTACATGTTGGTAGAGTATTTTACTAATTACACTGAGAATTATGCTACTTCATGTACTGCTAGAGTAGATTTCTATTGTTTTTGCCTAACACTCATTCACGTTCCTCTAGTGACAGCACCTGTGCTTTCTTTTCTTTAAATTTATTTAAAAAAATTTTTTGAGGCAGGTTCTTGTTCTGTCACCCAGGCTGGAGTGCGGTGGCACCCTCATGGCTCACTGAAGCCTCTAACTCCCAGGCCCAAGTGATCCTCCCACTTCAGCCTCCCAAAGAGCTGGAACCACAGGTTTGCACCACCATGCCTGACTAATTTCTTTATTATTTATTTTCTTGTAGAGATGGGGTTTTCCTATATTGCCCAGGCTGGTCTTGAATTCCTAGGCTCAAATGATCTTCCCCACTCAGCCTCCCAAAGTACTGAGATTACAGGCATGAGCCACCGCACCTGGCCCACCTGCACTTTATTTAGGGAAAATCCACTGAAGAAATTCAGATGGGGCTTACCCCATCCCAATAGCTCTGGGTTGGCCACTTGAATCAGGATTGGCCCAGCAGAGCACCGTGTCCCTCTGGCCAGTGACTGGTTCATCAGAGTCAGTGAGTGTTAGACTTAGGTCTCTTGAAGAAGTTATTGGGAAACAGATGCTGTTTTTTTTCACTGGAATTCTTAAACAGGACAATATAAACATTGAATTGGAAGTGACCATCCTATGGAGAGAGTCAGTCTGAGAATAAAGTCCAATGAGGAGCCTGGAGAATGAGATCCAGTTAGGTCCCCTGACTTCTCTGCGATATCTGATAGTCAATCAACTCTCCTTCCTGAGACTCTCACTTCTTTGACTTCACATCACATATATATAGCCAAATATAGTTACAGTATTGGAGATATATAGTTTATAATGATATATAATAGTGTACTATATGTATTATATATTATACATAATATATATAATTGATATAATCTATTTTATTATTATAGATAACACATGTTATATATAATAGTATAATGATATATATTATATATAATTATATATTGATTATATGTAGTGATATATAATATATCATTATATATATATTTAGGCCTTGGATAGAGAATTATATATCATATGGCCTAAATTTAAGTATTCTCCAAGGTTTTTCATCAGGTTTTATTCTCACTCTATTCTCTTTTGGTAATATCATCTTCCATTTTAATCCAAAAACATTCACTGTGTTTCCACTCTGTTAAGCATGACAGTTAAAAAAAAAAAAACTACATAATATCCGAGTAGCAGTTACCCATGTGGAGAAGCAATGGAAAGGTATTCCAGGCACAGAGGAGAGTATGCACGAACACCAAGAGTTGTGAAATAGTGTGATACATGTGGGGAACCACAAAGAGCCCAAAGTAGCTAGAGCATAAGACTGGGTGGAAAATGACAGATTTCAGCTGACAAGTTGATCATTTTAGCCTCTTTTCATCATAGATGGCAGAGCAGTTTGTCCTTATGGGAATAGATAATTATTCTGAATTTGGATTTGCTTTCCCTACCCACCTTTGACACCTGATGCCTTTGCCATAAACTCTTTTCATTGACTCATTGAATACATTACAACCCTCATTTCCTTCTACAAAACATTTTCACCAAACAAGAAACTCACTTCATATTAATAGGGTTGATATGAGCCACTGGCATTGCCCCATTATCCTAAAGAGGCTGCCTGTATGAAACAGAGCATGGCCTATTGAGGACTTGGATATGTCCCAGCTGGTTGTACTTTTGAGGGTAATGCCCAAAGCAGATGTCACTTTCTAATGTTTTCACTCTTTGATCTCCTGACTGTCCCATAAATTAGAGGAAAACTATGGCATAGTAGATGATGAAAATAGTTTATAATGTAATAAACATAAATTTGACTGAAAAGATGATGTTTGAAATCTAAGTATGTGATTACTTTTTAAAAAATAATTTGTTGGTTTGCATGCATATGCATCTGTATCGAGTCAAAAAAACTGATATATTCATAATTATGGTTTATTACAGTGAGAAGATACAGATAAAGATCAACAAAGGGAAAAAAGACATAGGGCAAAGTTCAAGAAACACCAGGCACAAGCTTCTAGGTGTCCCCTCCCAATGGAGTTGCACAAAGACACACTTAATTCTCCCAGCAACAATAGGTGACAACAAATATGAGGTGTTATCAAACAAGCAACTCAACTAAGTCTTGGGTTCAGGGTTTTTACTGGGGGTCAGTCATTGTCTTAGTCTGTTCAGGCTGCTATCACAAGATGCCATAAACTGAGTGGCTTATTGTCTTTGTCCATTTTGTGTTGTTATAATAGAATACCTGAGGCTGGGTAATTTATTTGAAAAAAATAGGTTTTTTTAGCTCATGATTGTGGTGGCTGGAAAGTTCAAATGCATGGTGCCAGCCTCTGCTCAGCTTTTGGTGATGTCATGTGCTGTGCTGTATCAAGACTTGGTGGGTAAGCAGAAAGGCAAGTGGAATGTGCAAAGAGAGACTAAACAAGTCACTTCATAACAACTCATTCTTGAGAGAACAAATCCATTCCCGAGAGAGTGAGAACTCAGTCACTTACTTCAAAGATTAACAGGCATTAATCTATTCATGAGGAATCTACCCCGATAACCCAAACACCTCCCACTAGGCTCTACCTCCCAACACTGCCACACTGGCAATTAAACTTCCAATGTGACTTTTGGTGGGGACAAACAATAGCACTTATAAACAACAGAAATTTATTTCTCACAGTTCAGGAGGCTGGGAAGGTCAAGATCAGGGCACTGGTAGATTCAGTATCTGGAGAAGGGCCATTTTCTGGTTCATAATATCTTTATAGACAGTACCTTCTCACTCTAACCTCAATGGCAGAAAGGGGCAAGGGAGTGCTCTGGGGTTTCTTTTATATAAGGGCACTAATCCTATTCATGAGGGTTCCACTAGCATGACCAAATCACCTCAAAAGGCCCCATCTCCAATATTATCATATTAGGAATTAAGTGTCCACATATAGAACATTTAGTCTATTGAAGTCATGTAGGCATGCAGTGACATATGACTGATCTCAGGTATTCAGACCCCACCACCTGCCCAGAGCAAAAAACAGGTATAAGCATTAGTGAATTTTCAAAAGGGTAATTTGGGAGGGTCAGAGCTCCTGAGCCACTTCGTGGGGACCCAGCAAATGGTCCATGGCAGTGGTGGCCGAGGACAGGAACAGAGATGGTGATGACGTGGAGATGGAGAGGGAGCTGCTTGACCCAGCCCACTCTATTTCAAAAGAAAAGTTGGCCGGGCACGGTGGATCATGCCTGTAATCCCAGCACTTTGGGAGTCTGAGGCGGGTGGATCACGAGGTCAGGAGATCGAGACTATCCTGGCTAACATGGTGAAACCCTGTCTCTACTAAAGATACAAAAAAATTAGCTGGGCGTGGTGGCGGACGCCTGTAGGCCCAGCTATTCGGGAGGCTGAGGCAGGAGAATGGCGTGAACCTGGGAGGCAGAGCTTGCAGTGAGCCGAGATCGTGTCACTGCACTCCAGCCTGGGTGACAGAGCTAGACTCCGTCTCACAAAAAAAAAAAAAAAAAAAAAAAAAGAAAAGTTTATAAACTCTGATGATTGATTAATATAATACAGTGTATTAAGAAGAAAAAACAAAAATTAAAGATGACTCCTGTGTTTCAATTTTTAAGTCCTGTCTAAAGTACCAAAGACACATGATTGGAGTACCATGGGTAAATAATATTATTCATCCTAATAAGAAACTTCTCTTTGAATTTTTAGTGTATGATTAAATTATTTTCTTCCATTTGGCACAAGATTCTCATTATACTTAGAACCATTATCCCCATTGGCAAAAGAAGTTTTCTTGCCCAGAATTAAGCTGATTGCCAAATTACCATTTGTGCTGACAATGTGTAAGTGTCATAGCTTTTGTTTCTAAGTTACTCTTGCTCCCTGATGAACGATGATTTAGTTTGTGTAGCTGTTTAACGCACCAAGTTTTAAAGCCTAGTCATAACTTTTAGTTCAAGATGTTTGACCTTTTTATCCACATTTAAATATCTGAAAAACACTTGGAAACCTCAGCTGAAAGATCAAACAAAATTCTGTCACCAAGGTTCCTGACCTTTCTACATTTCTGAGAAAAGGAATTAAGACTTCAGGCTTTCTTAATACACATTTGAAACTAAGTTCATTGATTGAGGGCTTTCTGTTCTGCATTTGTCTCCTTGGCTGCAGCTAATGTCAGTGTGAAATCTGTGGCCCTCCATCTATTATTTTCTCTTTTTTCTCCAACTTTTATAAAGTTCAAATGACTTTCAGTGGAGTAAATGAATGAAAAAATACAAGTCCAGATTCTGTATAGGTCTGAGTAGTAAAATGGTCAGGATCTTAAATTAAAATGCTAAAATATCAATAATCCTAAAACTGACTTCTAGAGAGAGGTTTACTTGAATCTGGAACCTCATTCTTGTTTTCATTTGGTAAAACTGAATATTTTCTATTTCTTCATGTATTCAGTGAATGATTGCTTGTTGAGGCCTACTCTGTGCCAGGTACTCGGTATACCTCAGTGAACAAAACTAAGACTTTTCACTCATGAAGCTTACACCAGAGTGGTGATATAAAACAATAAGCATGACAAATAAGTACATCTATGATAGGTGAGGAGGTGATTGGTGCTCTGAGAAGAAGAAAATGTAGAGCAGGGTAGGAAGGAATAGAGAGTAGGGTGGGCTGGAGGTGCTGCTGTTTTAAAGGTGGAGATCAAGCCAACCTCCTGGAGGTGAGAAAGGAGCACAAACCTGAAGGATGTGAAGGAAATGCCAGAAAGAAAGAGCATTCCAGGCAGAGGGAAGAGCAGGGCAAAGACTCTACTGTGGGTCATTGCCTAGAATGTTCCAGAAACAGGAGGCCAGTGTGAGTGGAGTGGAGCAGGCCAGGAGGATAGTGGAAGGAGAGGCAGTCAGGGCAGCACCATGGAGGATCAGAACAGCAGGGCTTTGGGAGCCCTTGTAAGGACTCTGGCTCTACTCTTTGAATAGTCTGTTTTTATGTTAATGACTTTCTTTTGTTTGTTTAGCAGAGGATGTAGGCTGTTGCAAGCATAGGCAATTATTAGGTACTCAGACATACCTGTTGACAAACTCAAGACCCCATTTAACAGATTAAATAGAATCATAGCTGTACATTGATGGCATAGTATCATCATTATTGATTTGCCGGTCATTCTCTCTCCAGATTGAATTTCTCCAGGATGGGAATGGAAACTTCGTTATCTCTGTATCACTAGTGCCTGATAGGACATAAACACAGTGCCTCACATTTTATCACTTTAGTTTTTGCTGTCTCATGTCATTCCTTTATTACATCACATGCATTATTCTTCTCTTGTGGAGTACATACTTCCTGAAGTCCAAGATTATCTACATTAGTGACCATAGCTATGCAATCTTCTTTTTCTTTTCATTGTCAGATGAATTTTCTGCTACTTAAGCTTATATTTTCAGCATCCCTCCAAGACATTCATGTCTATTTCTACCTCTATGCCTTTACACATTCCTCTTGCACTACATTTTGTACCTTTTTTTAGTAGCAAAATCCTCTCCCTTGCTAATGTCTACCTCAAGGCTCATCCATCTCCAGTGATGTTTTTCCCAACATCACCTACTCTTTTTTGTTCATTTACTCAGTGCCTTCTATTTTATCACTTTAGTTTTTGCTGTCTTATGTCATTCCTTTATCATATCACACGTTATTCTTTTCTTGTGGAGTACATACTTCCTGAAGTCCAAGATTATCTACATTAGTGATCATTTGCAGAGTGTTTATGTCCAAGCAGCCACTAATTTTACAGAGATAACTAAGTTTCCATTCCTATCCTGGAGAAATCCAATCTGGAGAGACAATGACTGACTGGCAAATCAGTGATGATGATACTATGCCATCTATGTACAGCTATGATTCTGATAGTGACAACACCCTGAACAGAGAGGAAAAAGGAACCAGTATGTATTAAATGCCAGTTACTGAGGATATTCTCACGTTACCTCATTTAATCCCTGCAATAGTCTGGCAGATAGAGGTTACAAACCTCATTTTAGAAGATGAGGAAATTGAGGTCCAGAGAGGTAAAGTGGCTTGTCCATGATTGCTAAGATGGATATAATGAGTCCTGGGAAGTAAGTAGGTAGGCCTTTGATTTTTGCTTAACTACACAATTCTTCCACTTTCCTATTATCCTTTACCAGTCCAAAGAACACAGCAACTAAGAAATATGTTTTATGTCATCCAAACAAAATAGCAATTTATTTCATTTGTCTTAATGTTGCCTTTCAAATATCAGAGGATATCCATAGTATAGATATATTTCTTTATTTTATAAACTTCAATCTTTTCTCTCTTCAGACATTGATATAAAAAAGAAATCTAATTTTAGCCCTATTTTTCTCTTATAGTTTCTATTATCTGTTTGTTTAAAGATCAGTTGTGAAACAAAACTGTCAAATTCAAATCCTAACTCTGCCTTTTATTCATTATAAGTAACTCAATTTAGCAGTTTTAGGTCACTTCATTTGTAAAATAGAGATACCAATATAAGGACCCTGCCAGAATTAATATTTTTTAAATATCTGCTACTATGTAACTGAAAAATACCATTTTAGTGAACAGAATTACAGATTTATTTGCAGGCATACAAAAGACTATAGGATACAAGTTTTATTGATTAGGTGGTTTCTCAAGTAACTTATGGAAATAAAGACCATCGATAAGAGAACAAACAAAGGCTTTTTATTCAGGACTTGCTATAATATATCGAAGGAGTCAGCCACCATCACTTGCATTTTGGCAAAGATTCACAGGCAGGCAGAAGAATGGGAAAGCTTTATAGTTGAGGAAAAAAAAAAAAAAAAACACCTTTAGGTATGCCCTGATTGGAGGTTGTTGGCATGGAGAAGCTGTAGGCAGACTAACTAAAAGTGGGACATCCCACATGATTGGTTAAGGGTTCAAATTTGGCTTTCTCTGGTTGGTCCTGAGTTGGGAGCAAGAACAAAAACTATGAAGCTCTCTGTTACTAATCAAATCCTGGCCATTTGGGGCCAATTGTTACAAAGGATATTATTTGGCTTCCAGAATCAATTGCTAGAGATCGTGGTCTTACTTCCTACAAATCTGACTTACAGCAGACTGGCTTCCATGCTGGTTATTGCAGATAATGAGTTAGTTTCCTGGACTGATTACTGCACACTGTGGGCCAGACTTCTATTTTTATGCACAGCCTGGCTAATGCCTGTTTGTATATTCAGTCTCCCACTGTAGATCTATCAACAGTTGACTTAGCAGGTCTGCATGATTTACAAAACTTTATGTGTGCTAATGTATTGTTATTTTTAAATTTTGCTCTGGAATAACTGAAACTCAAGGTGCTATACATGAAACTATATGGAACTTCTGAAAAATGAAATAACTTTTAAAAATCTTTATGACAAAAATCATAGCCACCAACACAGAAAAGGTAACTCAGATATGTTAGAGAGAGTCATAAGAATCCTACCAACATTGTAGTGTTAGTAACTATTCTTTTGGCCACTTCACATGAAGGTGGCCAGAAACACAGAGTGGACATTTGTTCTTCACTGGATAATTCCTGACTGGTGATGCTTCTCTCCTCCATGCTCAGTTCTCATTGTTGGGGTGAGGTGAGGCTCTCCTTCTGGCCCTAGGGGGTAGTCCCAGGCCTAAGCCAATCAATACATCATATTTTATGACCACAATGATTGGTTCAAATAAACTCATGACCTAACCTGGTCCAAAAAAGTAAATTTCAGGATTTTTAATGAGAATCCTGGAACTAATATTCTCACATTTTCCTGTTGGGCATGAGCCAGGAAGACTGTAACCCCAAGGACAATTGGCAGCCATCTTGCATAAATGAAAAGAATGTAAGACTGAGAATAAGATCAACATAAATAAAGCATAGTCCAGCAGTAAAGAAAGAGGAACCAGAGAGCAACTGATGACATCATTTGAATCTGAGTATTTTCTATTTATAGCTTCATAGTCTTTTCTTAATTATAAAATGAAACATAGCAAAGCATAAAGACAATACAAAGTGGGCTAAAGTAGCAAATAATCTCAATGCTCATAATCCTATCATCCAAAGGTGACCAAGGTAACATTTCAGAGGGCAGAATTTCAATAGGGAGAGTCAATTGGATGAAGACACTCTTATAGCTGGAAAATGAAGGCTGTGTTTGGGGCATAAACCAGAAGAGTAAAACCATGTCATACTTATCATCAATAGCAATACACAGAAATTACCATGCAAGATGAGACCATTTCTTCAGCAAAAGCCCTGTGACAAAGGTGATTATTTCTTTAAGGAGCAGCTTTAACCACAGACCAAAAGACAGGGTTTGACTATAGACAGTGTAAGAAAAATAGCTGGTCTAGTCCAGGTTTGACTAGACAAATTCATACATGGAATCTCACTGTCAATGAAAAACTGCAAAGTCGATAGCTGAAGCCAAAGTAAGTGCCATTGATCTGAAGCAGTATGCCCTCAGGAAGCTTTCCATCAAGAAATGTACTTCTCAGCCCATACAGAAAGTGAAATAGGGAGCCATGCACATAGTGTGATTTCAGGACTACAAGTTTTCATTTGATCAGAAAAGTGCTTTCACTTTGGACCTTTTATATTCCCTTCTACTTAAGCCAAAATCTCCCACCCCAGAGAAATTTTAGTGAGTTAGAGAACAAAGCCTAGTGCATTTGTTATATATATATATCCTCTAAAAGAAATGAAATTTGACTGAGCCAGTGTTATGTAAGTGAGCCAGAGACAGGTCTTGTTTATTAGCCTAGAATGGCTCCAATGTTACTTCCTCACAGTAGGCTGGAACCATTAGCCCAAAGCCAACAGCAAACCCAAATTACCTCACATCCATTAAATATAGTCCAAATAAACATATTTTTAGCCATTCAGAGCCTACCTACTTATATACTCCATGAAACTGCACCCAACATCTGCTCGCCATAGATAAGACAAAGCCTGTAGCTATAAAAGATGCCAAAACTCTGTTGCCTTTCAGAGTTCTCTGACCTAGAAACACCCCACCTTGTTGCTGAGCAACATCACTTAGACCTGGAAGCCCCCTCTCTGATTTTGCCCTCTCCCTTGTGAGTTTCCCTGCCCTATACCCTTTTTTAGGTGGTGGCCTCTTGCTGCTGTTACTGGAAGGTAGCTCGCTAGAAGGGACTTCCCCTCTCATGCAGCCCTATCAAGGCACTACCCAGTAACTTTATTTTGTGTTGCTACTTCCCATGATCCCATCTCTTTCTTGTTCAACCCCCAAATCTCTGAACTTACCAGAGCCAGCTGAGTCCAGACTTTCTTAATTCATTTGTGCCATCCTGTGCAGAAGAAATATGTTCTCAAAACCTTGTTAATGAAATAAATTTCATTGTACATTAATATTAATATACTTCTTCTGCTCATCCAAGTTCTGAACTGACTGAGAGATAAAAGAGTCAACAGGATAACGATCAAATTTCCGATGGAACTACTGAAGACCATGGCATTCCTGTGGGCTTCCTAATGCTGCACCCAGAATTAGGCAGATTTACACTCAGTGTCAGGAGGAGCTGAAGATCCAACCTTCCCCCTCCAGGGGCAGATCAGAGCTCATGCTTTCTCCAGGCAGATGTACCCCAAAGTGATAGTCAGAGAAAAGGATAGTCTTTTCCCAAGTGCACCAGGCCCAGAAACCACTGAGTGATGGGGACAACATAGGCTGAGGGTTTCCTAATGGATGGCCCCCCATGCACATGGAAGGAAGCAGGAGCATTAGGAATAAGTGTCATCCCCTAACAATTATATTCTCTTTTGTGATTACAACTTATCATAAAAATAGAAATGTTTCTATGGACAAAGTTCAAATCCAAGATGATATGATTTTACTTAAGAACCACCAAACTTTTATAATCATATATTTAAAGGAGGGATGCTATTATTCCTTCTGATAAAATGCATATTTAAATACTCAAATTATATCAGTGAAGGCTACTAAATGTATTTTCATGTTTTGAATAATAATACACTAGCCAAAAAATACATCAGCTTAACTGAATGCAACACAATGGCCTGAAAAACCTTTCGTTTCCATGAAAATTTCATATTGTATTCTATGCTAGGAAACCAAACCACAGTTTTAGGTTTGTTTAGAACCTTTTCCAGTGATTGTAGTTACTTCTGGCTTTTGAAAATGAACAGTTCCATCGCAGTTCAAAGAATGAAGAGGCACCAAACTCCAGCAGTGGTGACAGCCTAAAATATAGCAACAAAGGAGAGGAGAGCATGTGTGGGAACACATCGCCCTAAGTGTCTCCCAGGCAAGTTGTCATATGATGTTTATCAAGTGACAACCTCGATTACAAATTCTGTAAGCTCACATATCTGCCTGGCATGCTTCTGTATTATGAGGTATACTTGTAAATATCAACCAGGCTGAAATGAAGCATATAAAACTTAAGTCACAGGAAACAAGAAGGGAAAAGTTTTGAGCATATGAGAACAAGGGGTTATGTAAGGGTGCTGTGGCTTTAACTGTAAGCCCTGAAACCCTGAGCGTGTTGTGACACTGTTGTGACATTTAAGAAGAGTTACACCAGACAATTTAGATTTCACTGTGACATATGCTGTATAAATTCTTTAATGTTTAGCTTATCTTGCACTAAACAGCAGAAGAATACTTAGTAAGTGCAAGTAGGTCAACATCACTTTAATTTGCATTATCAGTTCAGAAGAACATTTTACACTATATGTGTTGTGATAAAACACTGTGTCATTTCTGTCACCCAATGCAGAGTATTTTTAGGTCTTTGCACATTATGTGTAGAGATATTTGGTATTGCCTTTAATGTAACTTGCCATCTGTGTTCTAGTTTCTAAGCATTGGCAGAAGCGAGCTAAAAGCATTGGCCAAACTTCAAGGGGTTAAGATTTTTGCTAACAAATATGGACTATTTGATATGAAAACCATCACTGTTTGATATGTCAAATAAAACATTTGTCAATCAAAAGTCTTTAAGCACTGGGCTATGTGACATTTACTCTTTTATAAACCAACAAAGTCCCTGGTGGCATGCCTTTTTTCCTCTCATTTAAATAGTAGTAGGAGAACAAATCATACTTCAGGGCAAGTTGATAACTGCCAGTCACGATTCCTGCCTTGTTTACTATAATGAGGAGGGTAATAAATGCATCTGACCATTTCAGCTGGCATTTGCATAGATGAATGATTTGTCCAGTCAGTCACTCTCCAGTGATTTGGGTCTTTTTGTCAGCACAAAGAGCATTCAATCTCTCTGGAATTTACAGCAGCCAAGCTCTCATTAGCAAACATCCTTTACCATGAATGATTCAAATAATTACCACTGAAATAATAAACTGTTTCACAAAAACATTTTATTTGATGGCTCCAAACATCAACTTTTCTGAATTGTTGACATTCAAATAAGCCAGAGAGCTTCATTGTTAAGGAACAATGGCACTCTTGTTAAAGGGTGGGCATTGTTTTACCTCCAATAGACCTTTAAACTTGGCTGGCTATCAAATGCGTCCCTCAAACTGCCAGCCAACATTGTGGGTAATCAGAGGGCATGTACCAGATGGAGCAGTTAAAACTTTACATATTCAAACTCCAGGAAATATTCTTTAGATTTTCTTTTGAGGTTGTAAACCTAGAACTCCAGATTAATTAGCAGCTGCTACTTTGTATCTTTTTTGCACCTATTGGAGCCAAATAATATTAAATGTCCTCACTTATACTGAGCTATTCAAGTGTGAGTTCTTTGCTGTAATGGTATTCTATGTGTATAATTAAGTGTTATTTGATATAGTTTTAGAGTTCGAACAAATGAGCAAGCAACAATTATACCTTATTATGATCTTCTCTAGTGCATAGCCATAGGGTTGCTCTCAGTGCATTACCAAATGCATAGCACCAGCCAGGCAGCAGTTCCTGTTATCAACTTTTTTCACCCTTTGCGCCATGCATAATTTAGAGAGTTTTATTAATTTTGAAGTGGTTTAATGTATGTGCATGTTCTAAAGATCTAGGTAGATTGTATGACTAAGTTTAGCTTTCATAGAGCAATTGTTTATGTATGTAAATGTCTGAAAAATATTTTCCCTCAAATCTTAAAAAGCTATGGTTTCATTTAAATAGATTAACTGACACATTGCACCTTCTTCCTTACCTGCAAGGAAAAATTCAGGAAGGGAACGAGTGGAATATATTTCTGTGCTTTGCAAATTTCCTCATTACTTTGCTTTCACTTTCAAATTTAGACATGTTATATATAGCAAGAATGGAAAACTGTCAACAATACTGAAATACCTTGATGTTCATACAAAATTACAACACGATACAGGAAAATCATGATTGTTGGCAAGCAAAATTTTAAAATGTTAACTTTGCAGACTATCTTAAAGATATTAATAATACCAAGTAGATTATATAGACCCAATAGCCTCACTCTCGTAGAAGTCAAGAATGTCAAAATTACCCTTTAAGATGTGCCTGATACAGACGGCCACTTAAAACAGCATGCAATTCCTGAAGCTTCCATTTCTATCTCACAAAGATAGATGCAAATTAGAAACATAATTTGTCAAACTTAAAATAATTTACTTTCCTTTATTGGGACATTGTGTCCAAATTCTCAAGTTTCTCCTTTGCTACTAGCTCAGAGCCTTTTACTCCAAATGGTTGGTGGCTTTTTTGTTTTTCCTTCCAGATGCTGCCTGTCCTGGCTGGTAATCATAGGCAAGACTACAGAGCCCATTTTTCATTTTGCTATTTGGCTTGTCAAATCAAAGGTCAAGAGATGATGAAGAAACCTCAAAATAGTCCAGGATTGGCAGATTTTCCCCTAAGTTTTCTAACAGAATTTGGTGCTTATGAAAGTAAGGGAATAAAGAAGTGGCTATAGCCATAAATCATGAAGGCAAGAGCTTTCTAAGTTTTGCACGGTTTCACTGCCTAGTGCCCAGAGACCCAGAAAAGAAAAGTGAGGTGTCCTACCGTTAATAGTGCCATCCCCATGGTCTCAGGGCTGGGGGTATGTGAGGCCAGCTTTCTGACGTCAGCTCATCGTTCGTGATTGGAGATGTTGACAAAGAATAAGTACAGCTTAACTCTTTAGCTGTGATACTTTTCAGACATGACTTGATATACTAGGGATATAGAATCACAGAATATCAGTGCCAAAAGCAACATCAGGATCACAGTAAGCAGCAGAACTTGTTGTACTCAAATTGTGTCTCTTGACAGCTCAGGCAGAGGTCACTCTCTTAGTTAGACCATCGTGATATGCCCTAAAGGCCCAAGCCTTATTTGTGATTACCTTTTTCATTACAAGTTTACCCAGACAGCATATGCTCTATACATGTACAGACTTTCTTTAGTCTTAATAAAAATGATGACACTCTGTGTCATCAGCTAACAAAAGTGACTCTTGGCCTACAGGCCTTTTCACGGCCATGTCACTCTAGGTGCTTGGACAAGAATCACACGTGGTAGTGTTGTTAGTTCTTCCCCAAAGTCCTTCAGGTTTAAAGCAGAGGTTTTGTTTTTCTAACAAATATTCCAGAAACTGCTACTATCAAGTTGCTAAGATGTTTTTAACCCCAGATCTTCAACTCATGTAGAAAAAGTATTGTCTTCAGTTCCATTTGGAAGGGAGAGGAGATAGACCCGTAGTTCCTTGTGAAACAGTTAATGCAATCTCTTGAGTTGTCTCAGAATATTGATGTGTTTGATGTTGTGGTTTGGTTGTAAGATTTAGGCATATATTTTGTCTTTAATAAGTGCTTTTATAATATTGAATTTTGCATTAAGTTGTGTTATGGGGCTGAATTGTGGCCCCCAAAATTCATATGTTGAATCCCCAGTATTTATGCAGTGTAGTACAAATGCAGAATGTGACCGTATTTGGAGTTAGAACCTTTAAAGAGATGACTAAGTTAAAATGAGGCTGTTAAAATGGGCCTTAATCCAGTCTGTCTGGTGTCCTTATAAGAAGAAGAAATTTAATCACAAAAGGAGAGATATCAGGGATACGAGTGTGCACACAAAAAACCATGTGAAGAGGCAGCAAGAGGGGACGTAGGCATCCGTAAGCCTAGGAGAGAGGTCTCAGGGGAAACCAACCATGCTAGCAGCTTAATCTTAGACTTCTAGCTGCCAGGATGCTGAGAAAATAAACCTCAGTTGTTTAAGCCATCCAGCCTTTTCTTATGGCAGCCCTAGCAAACTAATACAAGCTTCTTAAACGTATAACTTTCTCTAACCTCTGAAATAACCCTTGTTGGGCCCTCTACCTGAAATATGCTTTCTCTCCCTCTCCCTTTTGCCTGACTAGCTCCTACTCATCTTTCACATCTCAGTTTAGACAGTGCCTCCTCCAGGAAGACTCCCTTCACTACATAGCCTAAGCCCGGTGCCCTTCCTATGACAATGGCATGTCATGACACTTACATGGTGCTAAGCAGGAAACCTGAATTCACACTCTTGTAAGCAGCAGCCAAGCATAATAGGTTTGGCATTTGACCTTGCTTTGCCCCATTTAAAAAAAAATGCAATGTTACAACTCTCAGTGACATTGTCAGCTTGCTCCTCTGTAAGGAAAGCAAAAAAATTCCAAGTACATGTGTGCTGCACTAGCTTTGGTAAAGTATTTTTTCAGTCAGGATTGGTTAAAAAAAAAAGAGTATAAACCAAAGAGAGTTAGGGTAGGCAAGAGAAGTTTCAACCAAAATGTTGGCATAATGTAAACCCGCAAGTGGGAACAATGTAAGTGAGGGAAATTTGGGGAAGCTTTCTGTTAGAATACATACACAATGGAAAATCACCAACTTTAGAAATAGAATAAATAGTAATATAAAAGTAGAATTGTTAAAGTCCTGGACTTATGCACTTAAACTTGCAAGATTCCATGCCATACTGACTGTTGATCTACTAGAGGCACATACATATATATACATACAGAAATACACACATATGTACACACAGACATGTACTCACTCACATATCCATGTACACATATACATGAACATGTACATGTACATACATATGCACACACAGCTGAGGGAGAGGCTAAATGGACACTCCCAAAAAGCAGCTGTTGCTCATCAACATTTTATCTAGTAATATGTATTTGTTTTGTTCAGCCTTGATTAGCTGCTTTGAGGCTACTTTTTCATATCCAATCTGATGTGGAAAGTCTCCCAGTTGGGCAGCACTTAAATAAAGCAAGAAATTCATCTACTAGAACTACCTCCCTATCCTAGAGTTCCCGGTGTGTAGTAACTGATTCTGCTGCATTCACAGGGCCTATCTGCATGGAACCTTGAACTTAGAAAATGCTCAATAAATACTGTCTTTGAAGTGAAATGAACTAAATGAAGGAGAAAAAGAGTACAATCAAGAAAGAGAGGACAACAAGAGCAAGCTTTCTTGTTTTTGTTCATCTTCTACTACTTGCTTTAAACCCAACAGGTTCTAGTATTTACATTCATTCTCTTAGTACTTGATCTTCTCCTAAATGACCATGTTTATAGTATTTCTTTTTCATTTGGAAAGAGATGGGTTTGAATCCAACTTTTCAGAGTTTGAATGGCAAAGTCTGCCTTTCCTAGCTTACTAAATAAATATACAACTACATCCCTTCTGATAACTTCTGTTTGACTCTAAATAGTCATCATGAAATAATTATAGATGCTTTCTTCTGTTATGTGAAATAATTGCCTCTCCCACCCCCATCCCTGACCTTATTCACTAAGCTCTAATCATCACAAAAAAATTTATTTATGCAAGGAAATAGCAAGTTATTCACTCAGCTCATTTTATTCACCATTGTCTTCTGATTTCTTCACACTACTTAATTTAGCATGTCAAGGTGAAACGATTAGTTTATCTCACCTTGACACGGCTATAGTCCACTGACAAAACACGTTTGTGACATTCTTGTTGGATACTTTCTCTCTAGTAATAGCTATCTCCTGAATTACCATTGGTTGGTATTTCCAAGTCAGAATAAGTATGTGACCAGCAGGTAAATCTGGCTGATAATAAATCAGAACAAATAAGGGCATCAAAGAAAATGCATTCCCTTAAGACCACTATGCATGATAAGGCATTGTTTCAGATCAACATCTGCTTTTATTCTTCATGATGATAAGAAAAGCCCAATTAACACCCACAGTTTAAAAAGATGCAACTTTTTATTTATCTAAGACTCTACTGCTGAAAACCTTGCCAGATTTACAATCCTAAAGACAACAGCTTTTTGTAAATGTGTTTTATTTGCAGTTATAATATCTATAGTTAAATCAGTTCATTAAAAATAGAATTGTAAACTATCTCCCAAGCTGCCATATTTGAGGGTTTAAAACAAAAAAAAATGATTTAGATTATATTCTTACACTGCATTTAAGTAGAACTGTGAAGTCATCTAGTATATAAAACAATATCCTTAGATAGGAAATCACTCTTAATTAAGATGGAGGTTAGGACCATTTAATTTTATATTACACAACTCACTGTCCCTAAAGCACTTTACCATGGTGGGATTCACTACACTTAGCTTTCAAAGAGTTGTTACCTGTCTGGGTCTCAGGGCAAATGAGCAACAGTATATAGTCAATGAAAAAACTGACACCTTCTTAAGACCAGAAATAACCACATAACACACTAGCTGCAAAGCCTTCCGTCTGGGTGATAGCAGGCTGTATTTTGCCTTTTGAATTACATTATTTCTTACAGCCCTATTTGGCTTCATTCTTTTCACAAGAAAGCTAAGGAAATTTTTTCTTTTAATAAGAGCTGAAAAAATCCTAGATTTTCCCAGAGGCTGTGTTATGTGTGAGGGTGCCCAGGCAGGGGCAGGAGTGCTGGACTGAGAGCTGGGACATCTGGATCCCACTTTGCTAATTGTGATTGGAGTTTGCCTCTTAATCGCTCTCTACCTTTATGTCTTCATTGTTAAAATAGGAATACTAATAGACGCCCTGCCTGCATAGTTGTTATGAAGATCAAATGAATTAATAAATGGGAGAGTGCTTTGGAAAAGTTAAAAGTGCCACTCAAGCGTTAGTTATTCCTATTTGGCTTTCATATTCTTTGGAAACCTCGTTTATAATAAGGCTTTCCTGGAAAAGTAGCTGTTTCTTGAAATCCCATGAAAGCTTTGTCTTTGTATTATCTCTTATGGGTTCCTTTGGAAGTTCAGCAAGTTTCTCTGTTCCCTACTGTGCTGTGCATACATTGCCCAGAGTGATTCCAGGGCCAGCCCTGAAATGGGCAGCCTGCTCTGCACATGGTCTGCTCAGTGAGGGCTGGTTCTATGGTGTCGAAATTAAAAACACATATGCTGTTTGTAGTGTTTTTCCGATACATTTTCAATAGAACATTTTGAAATGACAGAAATGTACAAAGAAAGAAAAAACATAAACTACCCTTAATCCTACTACCCAAACACAAACATTGTTAACATTTTAATATACCTCATGTATATCCTTCTGGCTTCTTTCCCACGTATATATAGCACACATTGTATATTTGACAATATATGTGTTATTATGAACTGAATGCTTGTGTACTCTCCAGATTCAAATATTGAAGCCCTAAGCCCCAGTGTATTTGGAGATAGGGCCTGTGGAAGGTAGTTAATATTAAATGAGGTCAAAAGGGCAAAGCCCTAGCCTGATAGGACTAATGTTTTTATAAGAAGAGATACCAGAGAACTCCCTGCCACATCCCTTCCCAAGCCATGTGAGGTCACAGCAAGAAGGCAGCCATCTGTGAGCCAGGCAGACAGCCCTCACCAGGAACCAGATCAACTGACACTTTGATCTTGAACTTCCAGCCTCCAGAACTACCAGAAATAAATTTCTGTTGTTTAAGCCACCCAGTTGATGGTATTTGTTACGCCAGCCCAGCCCAAGCAGACTAATTCACACATATTAATACACTTCTACATCATTTAGGGTTTTTTTGCTTAATACATTGTGAACATTTCTCCATGCATTGACAATTCTACAGTGTGATTTGAATTACTTTAAAATATAGCAAAATATGGATACAATCTAATTTTTTTTAGCAATTCTCTACTGTTGGACATTTAGAGGATTATAATTTTGAGCTATTTAAGTAATGCTGTGATAAACATCCTTGGATATTTATCTCTTTGTATAGCTTTCATTCCTCAAAGTAGAAGTGCGGGATTAAAAAGAATGAATACTTTTAGAGCTTTTTATATTTATTAAAATGTCCTCCAGAAAGACTGTATGACTTCACACCTCTACCAATAGCTATTTGAGGTTGCCTATTTTCAAGAACTCTCACCAACAACAGTCGCTATCACTGTAAATTGATATTTATCAATTTGAAGCAAAAAGGTATCTCATCGCTATTTTAATTTGTATTTTTAATTACTAAGCTATTGAATTATTCATATATGTTTGTTTGGAATTTATTCTGTAGGGATAGAAAGGAAAGAATCTCCCTCTTAACATATTATTACAATTATAAACAATTTTATTATTAAAATTTTAATTTTCTAATATGTTAGATACTTACTTTGTTTTATGAGATACACCAAATGTAATCACCAATCCTGTGATTTTCAACAACACACTGACATAACCTCTCTGCTTTGCCTTTCATAATTCTGAGAAAACCCCAGAAATATAAAAATGTTTAAGGTTTCATGGAAGCCAGAATTTAAAAATTTAAAAATTTAAAAATAAGTGAGTTTAATTTTATTACCTGAGTGCTTTTTTCTCTAGCTTTAGTTATCTATTTCTCTTCATCACGGCACATAATAGATGAAAAATAAATATTTGTAACATGACTGAATGGATTAACAGGGTAATCATCTACTGTTTTCTCAAGTAGAAACAAATAACAGCCAGCTCTGTTCTAAACCACTTTAAATTAATGACTATCATCCCCTCCATGTCTATCCCTCATGTAATCCTCCTTTACATTCTCCTCTGTAATGTTAAACTTGACTTTTTTCCTCCAAGATCTCCTGAAAGACCACATTACTAATGAACAATGAGTGGCTAAGGGTTCCAGGGATTGCTCTTCCAATTCTCTAACTCAATGGCCAAGGCTTTGGCTCAGTTTCAAGTAACGAGGGGGAAAATTAGGGAAAGTGTGTACAGTTCACAATTTCTCCAAGTCAGGTGGAGAACAAGTGGCATGTAAAGCTCTCTATTTATTCTTTTGTTTAATCAGTAATTGACATAGAAAATTTGCCATAAATTGGCATTGGAAAATTCATTTTTTTTCAGCATATTACCCCAGGAGGCTTTTTGATCTTTATTTTCTTTTGACTGTGACTAACCTTGATCTACCCTTCACTTTTGTCCATTCCCAGTGAAATATATTTTTATAAAATTAGCATCTATTTTTTGGTCATTTGTAAAGAAGCAAGTACCGAGAGAGCTGTCATGACATTTTTGATACAGTTAAAAAAGAGTTAAAAGAAATTGCCTTCAAAAAGACCAGTACAAAAGTACTCCTACATGTACTAGGCTTTCAGATGCCTCAAATATTTTCATGAATGAAAGCCCTTTTGGTTATTTTCATTATAGAAGAAATTCTTTTATGGAAAATTCAAACTAACAAAGGAAGCTCAGATTGCAATTCTAACATTTTTTAGCAGAGTTGACCAAACATGAGTCCTAAATTGACGTATTATGAAACACAATAAATAAGGTTTCAAAGGCTGGCTTAACACTGCAAAGCTTTTTTGAAACAGATCTCTCCTTTATGTATCTATCTTTCTCAAGTTCATGGATCATAAGAGGACATGGAATTTGGAGGCCTCTGGTTATTCTTACAATAGTCACAGCTACTGGGGAGCTGAGCAGTGAGAGTCAGTCACTTCCCATAGAATCATCTGCAGTGAATTGTCCTCATTGCCAGCTTGGAAGTGGAAGAGGCTTTATATTGCATGACCTGGCAGAGTTATTAAAAGACTACATTGGCATTGTGAAAGGTTAATTGCTAATAGATAAACAGTTCAACTCAAACAGTTTCTGTTGAATTCTTACTCTGTCCAACGCACAAAGATGGTAGTGTTGACAGCTGTAGCATGGGTGGGGGTGATGGTGATGGAGGTTGAGTTGGTGGTATGTGTGCGTCTGTGAGGGGGAGAGAGTTACAAAAAGGAATGACCTAGTCCCTGACCTCAAGTATGGTCAATGCTCTAATGGAGGCATGGCCAAAAGCTGTGGGAGCAAAGGGGCAGGAGACATCTATTCTAAAAGATGAGGAAGCGGTGTGGATCACCCAGGAGTTCAGTGGTTCTCGTTTCAGGGTACAAGAGATCAAAATTAAACTCAGTGGAGTGGATCAAGAGGCAGAGGACAGTTTTAGAAAGAAAGAGGTCTTGTAGGTAGCCAAAGGAGTATAGCTAAGACAGATTAAGAATTAGTCAATGAGAGAGACAGACAGACAGACAGAAGAAGGACAAGAATCTGGGCCAGCCCAGGACATTCATGTAGGTAGATTATTATACCTTAGAACCTGAAAGGACTTACGGCTAAACTCCTGGAGAATGTTTGCTCTAAACTAGAATGTTTGGAGAATGTTTGCTCTAAACTAGAGTGTAATCTCCATGGGGGTAGCCAATTTTTCTGTTTTCTTTATTGCCCCCATCCCCCAAAAAGCACCTGGCACTAGTAAGCCACAAAAATATCAGCAGAAAGAATATACGAATATATGGGATGGAAGACTTATAGAGCCAGAAGGGAGGCCTGTGTTCAGAAGCTGGGGTTTGAGGAAATGCCTCCCCTCCTCCCCTCAAGATGTCAGGTGGTAGCATAAATTGTGAACAGTAAACTGAAAAATGTGAAAGATATAATAAGATATTAATTAGAAATATTTTTTATTCCCCTGGAATTGGCATCTAGGACCCAAGACTGAAACTAAAGAGGAATCAATTACCTCATATTATAAAGAGATCAGAAAACAATTAAAAACAAATACCTCCTCAGAGCTTATTAAGAATTGGCCAAACAACAGGGAGGGAGAATTCAAAGGAATTACTGGAGTCATAAGTTATCAACTCAGTGGGGAACACTGTGAGTTTTCTTTCTATTTCCTCTTTCCTAACAGTTTCCAAATTAGGAAGAAGGCTTTAAGAGGATTGCTTGTAGAGATTGTCTGTCAAAAGAAGAGACTGGCCTCTCACTCTCTGGTTGAACATGTACTTACATTACTCGCAGTGCCTTTTTGAGTAGAAAGAACAGAGCGAGATGGCAAGGTGAGGAGAAGACTATACAAGTGGCCTTACTCCCACCATTTGGTCTGGCAAAGATGGCTGGGTTCTCCATGGATCAAATGGACACAAAGGACATAATTAGCTGAACTTAACTCAACAGTGAGAGGACACTGGAATCAAGACATAGTGGGGTGTATTCCTAGAGAAGAAAGTAGGGGCATTGGAAGAGATGAGCCAAGTGAGCCTCAAAAGTCAGGGCACGGTGCAGTGGGACATGCAACATCCCTGCAAAGTCTCCTAAAGAGCAAGAACCCTCATTGTCGAACACCTGGAACACCTTCATCTCATGAGAGAGACAGGATATGGATACCTGCCACCCAGAGGGTCATTCCTGGCCAGGAAAGCAGAGACAGCTGACAGGCCCATGGCTACACCCAGGTAAATAAGAGCTTCTGTTCCCTTTACATTGTCCTCCTCCTTGTGCAAACCTGTGAGAGGAAAAGGGGAAGAAGCCAAGTCCCTCTATCAAAGCTAGGCTGATGCCAGGCTGATGCTGGGGAGGGAAGAAGAAGTGAACACTAAATCAGGTGTGAGACTGAAGTTTCAATTAGAATGGACTTTTTAATCAAAAGAGACTGTTGATAATGTTCTTATGGAATGATGAGAAAGAAAAATTTTTCAGATTGTAGTTAAAAGCTGTGATTTGAAAGGGGAAAAGTGATTATGTTTCTACTCTATCAATACCAGACTGCTCCACAATTGATTATAGGTATAACCATGGTCTTTTACCACTAAAGAATCAGTGAGGCTCTCAGCTAGGAAGCTAGGGTGGTGTTGCTATTCTAATGCTGCCCAAAAGCCTTATCTTTCATTATACTGATTCTGCCTCATCTATTTGACATGTCAATGGTTCATCCAACAAATATTTATTGAACATATACTACTATGAACAAGGCATTTGTCTAGGCACTGGATAGACAAAGGCAAGCAAGACAGCCACTAACTCTGCCTTGCATCACAGATCCACACTAGAACTTGCTGGGCTGGCAATTTCTTTGTATAGAAAATTATACACTAATTGCACTGAGATTGCTCCTTCGATTTCTGCAATGGTTCAAAGTCTAGGTTTTAAAATGCAAAGACTTTTTTGCCTTGTAGACATTGGGGCATTTGTACCGATTTTTAAAATTCCTTTTTGCAACTACATAGTTCTCAGCAATGACGATAGGCTGGATTAAGGCTTGGCAAACTTTTCCTGTAAAGGGCCATATAGGAGGTAGGAAATACTTTAGGTCTTTCAGACCATGCAGTCTCTGTCACAACTACTCAGCTCTGCCTGTGTACCATAAAAGTGGCCAGAGGCAATATGAATAAATGGATGTAGATGTGTTCTACTCAAATTTTACTTATGGCCACTAAAATGTGAAGTTCACCTGATTTTCATACGTTGTGAAATATTATTCTCTTTTGGAATGATTTTCAACCATTAAAGAATGTATGCACAAACTATTCATAGCTTGTGGGTTGTAAAAGAACAGATAGACAATTGGATTTGGCTTACAAACCATAATCTGCTGGTCCTTTGACTAGAGGCATGACCCTTTACATGCAAATT
Source organism: Homo sapiens (assembly GCF_000001405.40). NCBI lineage: Eukaryota > Metazoa > Chordata > Mammalia > Primates > Hominidae > Homo > Homo sapiens. Next base: position 98,989,421 of record NC_000006.12, read on the forward strand.
TATTTTCAAATGACTCCTATAAAATCCTGCTTTTCGTTAGGTTTATGAGTTTCTCGTGTCCATGAATGTCTGCGGTGCCCATGACAAGAATGGAATTATAACTCTTCAGGTTTTAGGTTTTACATGTTTTCTGTGTTGACTGTGATTTGGAAGATTCTCTTGCCCCATTACTCAGAAGTTCTTCCTCTGTGGAATATCTCCCTCTGTTATTATTGCTTGGATTAAAAGTGATCTCCTCACATGAGTGTTCTGCTGTTTCAAGCTGAATGGCATTTCCTGGAGTGAGCCATGTTCCTTCCCACCTCTGGGCTTTGCTTGTACTGTTCTTTGACCTGAAATGTTCCCCTAGTGGCTACCACCCTTCCTTTACTAGGCTAACTCCTTGGGGGATCTGTAATCCGTTTAAATGTCAATTCCTCAGAAAAGCATCAGATCATAATTATTTTTGTAATGTTTTGATTGATGGCTGCCTTCTCTTCTAGACGGTAGCCTTCCCAAGGGTAAGCAACCCTGGCTCTTCAACTCACCATTGCCTTCCAGTGCCAGGTGTGGTACTAGATATAGAGTCACAGTCTGGTAGTCAGGAGGGCCAGGGAGTTCGACTGCTTGTTAAAACACTGGTATCAGCATCTTCTAACTATATCACCTCCCTAAGCCTGTCTATTCATCTGTAAAATGAGATTAAAAGTATACTGACTCTATGGAGTTATTATGAACATTTAATGAGATAATATGAATATAGTGTGTGGCTTAGTGTCTGAGATACAAGCTATTATTTGTAAAATGATCAATTGTTTTTATGATTGTCATTCAGTGAATATTTGCTGAATTGAATTAATAATGAGAGCCATTAATATTGGGTGCCTACTCTGTGACAAGTACTGTTGAAACAGCTTTACATGCACTATTTCATTTCATCTTTTCTACCACCCAGAGAGGAGGGTACTACTCTCAACTCTATTTTGCTGATAAGGGAGCTGAAGTACAAAGAGGTTAAGTAACCTGCTCAGTCACACTATAATTAAATATGTAATTAAAAAGTGAAGGATTTTCTCAGATTATGACATATATTATTGGTTTCCAACGGGTTTATTATAAATGCTTTTTTATCTTTCATACTCTCTTTTCTGGCCAAAACAAAATCATTAGCAAACAGCATAACCTTATATGAAAACATTTATTTTATATAGGTCTGTACTAAAAATAGATAATTTTAAAAAGCATGATCAAACTGATGTACCCTCTTCTGTGGTCACATATATTATTTCCCATAATTCAATAAAGTGTGGCATTTGCATCAAGGTCATTTTGTTATTTGTCTAAATTTGGACACAGGCAAATTTAGAAGATACCTTAAAATCTGCCAACTTTGAAGTGCATAAACACCACAGCATTGATGTAAATATAAGTCAGCTAAAATATATCAAAGTAGGAATTCTAGGAAAAGGTTGATTGAGGAAAAAATTATAGACATCTATATTTGGCTATATTCACACCGATCTATGTAAATAAGAAACTGTCTACTCGTATTCATAAATATTTAATTCAGCAATATTATAAATTTGGATTCTTACCTGTGAGTAGATCTGACATATTGCTCACCCACTAATTTAACTTTAAAAAATAGTTCTTTAGGCAAGTAGCCCACTTAAAGCATTTATCCAGAAAGCGATAATTTTTCCAGTTACTTTAACAATACACTGAATAGTGTTTCTTTCTAAGGTAAAGTATATAGAGAGATCCAATAGGCAGAAAGGTTACGAGCTCAAGGCTCTTGAGTTATACTTACCTGAATTCAAATCCTGACGTGACTTAGTCAAGATATTTAAACTGCCTAAGCCTCAGTGTTTCCATCTGTAAATGGGATAATAGTAGTATCTACCTCATAGGGCTGTTGTAACTGTTTAGCTGATGTCTGTGATAGGCTCAGCACAGGCTAAGGATTACAGTTGTTAATTTACATTTAAAAAAACACTTCTGGGCTGGGCGCAGTGGTGCATACCTGTAATCCTAGCACTTTGGGAGGCCGAGGCAGGTGGATCACTTGAGGTTGGGAGTTCAAGACCAGCCTGGCCAACATGGTGAAACCCCATCTCTACTAAAAATACAAAAATTAGCCAGATGTGGTTGCAGGCACCTGTAATCCCACCTACTCGGAAGGCTGAGGCAGGAGAATCGCTTGAACCCAGGAAGCAGGGGTTGCAGTGAGCCGAGATTGTGCCATTGCACTGCAGCCTGGGAGACAAAGTGAGACTCTGTCTCAAAAACAAACAAACAAAAAACACTTCCAAACATCTTTATAGATGGCTTCTGAATAGCACCCGGTAGATATTTAAAATATCATTGTTGAAATGAAATGAAATTCAAAAGGTAAAGTGTTCAGTATTAAACAGCAGAGTCTTTGTATGGGTTGCCATTTAGTCTTTTCCAAACATATCAAAGTGTAGGTTGCATAAGACTCACCTGGGGAATCTTTTTGAAAATCAAGATTCTGGTGCTCTGAATCTTCTGAATCAGTCAGTAGGTCAGGTATTAGGCTATGCGTGCATATTTTTAAAAGCCCTTACAGGGATTCTGATGGATAGTCAGATTTTGGAACATTACTTGAAACGCACTTTCAATTCAGTAAAAGTTTTCCCCAGCATTTCTGTTAGCCAGATGAGCCTTCAATAGATGGTAACCCCATCCCAAGTGTTCCTGGATAAAGAATGTCCATATCGCAGCATCTACAGCCTCATTACAGAAGTGTCCTTTTTTAACTCTCTAAAGCTTTGGCCAATATGAGGAAGTCCCAGAACAGCATGAGAGAAACCAGAGGGAAGAGTACCTGACCCTGAGTGTTTTCCAAGGTGTTGGCAGCTTCACCCCAGGGATCAGTTGCTCCTCCCCACCAGAGAGTGGGAACGAGTGGCATAGAAATAAGATAAAGCAAAACTCTCTCACATCCTCATTGGATTTCTGTTCTTCTGTATGTCCCTGCGCCATCCAGTACAAATCAAAAGCAGTCAATACATACTCATTGACTAATTATCATAAGCTTAGAGTCAACCTCCCATCATATCAGCAAAATACGTATCACCTATGGGATGTGAATTTCTCAAGTGAGGTTTAATTAATATGCATCTTCATTGAATCCTGTGAAAAACTGCATACATTTTATTTTCTCCTGCCTTCATGTCTCCTCTTTTTGTCACCATATGTTTCAATTGCCTTTCACGTGTTCTCCTTGGTGAAAGTACCCTATTCTCTCCTGCTCTCTAACACCTTCAGGCCTGCCATACAGTCACATGCTATGGGATATAAATAACTGAAAAACATTCATCTCTGTGGTGGCAGAGAAGCTGCTGCCACATTTTTTTTTTCCTGGAAACCTGCCTTTGGTGTGACAGTATTCTACAGCAGTTTGAAACATTTTCACAAAACATTTCTGAGTGAAGCAGGGAGAGGGGATGAGGAAGTTAAGATACTGCTGTGGCCTTCACACATCAGTTTATAACTTGCCTAAATATTTATTTATCATCATGTCAACAGGGTTTAAACATGAGCCAATAATTCATTTCAATCCAGATCTGTATTCTCTGAAGGGTTCTTTTTAGGAAAAAAAAATTGCTCTGTGCTTCTAAACTTTTACTCCTTTATCACTGGGAAAATATCTATTATTTATTTAACTTAGTGGGGTTTTTTTTAAGAAACTGTGACAAAGATGTAAATTCCAAATGAGCAGGCAGAGTGTGTCTTTGACCACAATTTTATCTCCCTGCTTAGCACAATGACTGGCAATAGTAGGGCTTCAAAATATATATATTTTGGCACATGCCTGTAGTCTCAGCTACTCAGGAGGCTGAGGTAGGAGGATGGCTTGAGCCCAGGATTTCAACATTGCAATGTGCTATGATCACACCATTGCACTCCAGCCTGAGTAACAGAATAAGACCCAGTCTCTTAAAAAAAAGAAACAATAATAATATAATATAAATATAATATATTATATTATAGTATCATCAATGAAGACTCACTTTAGAAAGGAGGTGTTCCACGGTGACAGATCTATGCAAACATATCCCAAAAGACAAAAGAAGCTGAGAAGCTGAAGAAAGAGACTGACAAATCTAGTTTCTCAAAGAGAAACATTTAATAGGGACTTACCAACAGACACGATGTCTCAGTGGCTGGGAGACATCGTGTTTTTGGTGAAATATGTGCAGGTGGTCGTGTTGCATACTTTCTTTTGAATCTCATGATCACTGGGGAGTAAGCATCTTCATGAAGAGTTGTCCATGCTACAGGTATTGTTTCTTTATGAGGGGTTATCTATGCTATGAGCATAGTTTGAAGATCTTGCTGCAGAATACTGTGGCATGCAGGGATGAAACATCGGTCATCATAGCAGTTCTGCTTCCAGATGGCATCACTGTTGCCATGCAACAGGTTGTTTTCCTACAGGAGGTTTGGAGGCTAAAGAAGACAGAGAGTCCTTTGGAAGACCATTTTGGGGGAGAAAGAATGCCAGATAGATGGGAAATTCTTTTCTGCCAGCACATATGCACATACACACTTGGGGGGGGGAGTTGGGGGGAGAAAGAGAGAGCCCATAATGAGATAAAGAGGATAATATGGTATTTGTCAGTGAAAGGAATTATGTCCCCCTTCCCCTCCTTGCCCATGACATCAAGGGGAGTATAGATAATGTATATGTGCTTCAAATAGAAGTTCCTGGAGTGGCTCCCCCATTGCTCTAAGGATGAAGTCTTAACTTAGCATGGTTTGTAAGGCCTCACGTGATCTAGCTCCTGCCTATTTGTCTAACTTCAGTCTCATCCCCACCATTCTATTCTAGCCATATTGAATTTCTTTCAGAGTCTCTTGCCTATGGGTCTTGGCATATGCTGTACCATCTGCCAGGAACATGTTCCACCTCTTCACTGGCCAATTCTTTTTTATCCTTGAGGTGTCTGCTTAAGTGTCGTTTCTTCCAGGAAGTCTTCCCAGCCCTTTGGGTTGGGTTCCCTTCCTATGTTTCCCTATTATGGCACCTCCTATACTGCATTGTAACTGCTTGAGTAGTTGCCTCTGCTGAGACTGTGAGCTCCAGGGGACAGTGACCATGACTATGTTGTTCATCACTGTGTCTTCAGCATTAAGCACAGTCCAACACACAGTCAATAAATGTTTGTTAAATGAATGAAGAAAAGAAGAGGGGAAGGGAAGATATCTGTAGCCTGAGCTGACTCAGTTGCTGTTGTCTTGGTTTTCCTGGCTCTTGTAAGACAGACTGAGTGGAGTCCCAGAAGATGTGAGAAGGCAAACACTGAAGCACTTGAGTCCAAAATTATGTTTAGGAAAGAAAAGAAAAAATAAATAAATGAAGTCAATAGGTTTTCAAAAACAAAGACTGTTTGTAGTTAATATACTCATTACTAGTTATATTTGCTATTAAGGAATTCTTATTAATTAAAATTGTCATTTAATATCAGATAACGTTCCATTTTTCAATTTTATCTTGACTAATGAGGAAAGAGGAATATGCCAACCAACATAATTCCACACAACCTATTTTCTTGGAAATTCATAACACAGATAACTTGATTTAGGTATACAGAAATAATCAAATAGAGTTTTTACTTAATTTAAAGATTAATGTTTTGAACATATTGCTCATTCAATTCAGGAACCATTACTTCTGATCTTAGCCACCTGTAATCCTGTCCTGAATCCTTATATGCTCAGAATGATGTCCAAACAAAGAACATTTGTTATCCTGGTTAAAAATGGCAGGGGCGAGGAATCCAGTCACAGAAAAGTAATCCACCTCACCATGTGTTTCCTGACTGGCTTCATTTTTTCATTCCCATACAATGTGGTGTTGGGTTGTGGCTCTCCTACAAATAGGCTTTCAGTTCCACTGAGGGAATGCAATGGTCTGTAGTCCACAGAAATGGCAATGAGAGATCTGACAAGAGCCCTGCATGTCCTGAGTGTGTAAGAGTCCCAGCTGACTTAAATACCTCCCTGCTGCCTGAGTGGAGTTATTCATTTGAATTTTGGTTCCTCTGTTTTTCAATCTATAATGGGAAAATGTTTAATAATTTCTTGCAATTTACTCATCTTATTTTAAACTCTTATGTAACCTGAATACTTGATATTATAGTATAACCACTTTGTGTTTTTCTATCATATAATTGATCAATGGATTTCCCAATAAAAACTATTTGTTCAGAGATTAAAGAAAAAGAGAAACCCGACAAGGAGCATTAATTTGATGAGGAAATCTATTTCCACAATTATCTATTTTATATTATCAACTGCTTCATCACCAGGGCACCTAACACATAGATATCTGACAAATATTCATTGATGCATTATTCTAAGCATACTAGGTACTAATCAAATATTCTTTATCAGCCTATGATAATTTTCATCTCTGGTATAAGAGGTGGCCAATAAGGTTTAATTGATATAGAAATCACAAAGTTAAATCTCAAAAATCATATAAAGTTTCAAGAAATTGAAGGATGGAATAAAAGTAGGCATTAAAAAGATGCTAGTAAAACATTAAATGTCATACCTTTGAAATTACCTTGTTTCTTAATTAGAATTCTTCAAGCATATCAATTGAACTTGTCTTCACCGAGAACCACACCCTAGGCAAATTCAAAGTATGGAAGGGAATTATTTTCTAGTTAATGAAGCATGTAAGTTTATTTTAATATTCAAGGTTATGATGGGTGAAATGTAAACTGAGAAGTTTTCCTTTTTATCGTGGGTCATGGTATAATAGCAGTACTTACTTTATGAAATAAATGTCCAATTACCATAAAACAAATGGAAGGCCATTATATTTTGCTTGGTTTTTGTATGCAGTCTGTGAATTTTGTTTCCTTACAAATTAACTTGCTGTAATACTTTGTATATGTAGTTAATCCAGGGAACCCAACCTTATCTTTTCCTCATTATGAACTGTTTGGGCTCTTTTCTAGCAATGGTAACTCAAGACTTTCTCATCTCTGAACCTTTGCATAAACCATTCTCTCTGCATAAAATGGCTTTTTCCTTTCCTCTGCCAATCTATGAATTTTTTTTTCCAAGACTTTTCAAAAACTCATCTCTCCTAATATGCTTTCCATGTCACTTTCTTTAATCATTTATAATTATACATATATGAAGGTTGGTGTCTTAGTTCATTTTATTTTGCTATAACATAAGACCTGAGACAGGGTAATTTACACTAAAGAGGAATTTACTGGCTCACAGTTCTGGAGGCTGGGAAGTCCAAGATCAAGAAGCTGGCATCTTGCAGCAAGGGCTTTCTTGCTGCATCATCCCATGTCAAAGGTAAGAGGGCAAAAGAGGACAAGAGGAGGTTGAACATGCCCTTTTACAAGGGCAACATTCCCACCCATGAGGGTGGAGCCTTCATGGCCTAATCACCTCTAAAAGGTCCCACCTTTTAATACTGTTACAATGGAAATTAAATTTCAACATGAGTTTTAGAGGAGACAAACATTAAAACCATAGCAGTTGAATCAGTCACCTTAATTGGCTAGATAATCCCAATAACAAGTGAATCATTTATCTTTGCCTGGCATAAGATTGCTAGACTCAGCTCTCTGCTGCATTTGTTTATGGGGAAGTGGGGAGCAAGAGGAAGGACTAGTTAGGACAGTTGCAGAGTGTGTGGCTCAGTGCTAGCTTATTACCCTAGGAACAGAGTTTGCATTATATATCAATATTAGCTTTTTAGCTGTTCTTTGTCATTGTATGTCTATTTCATTTGTATTTGCCTGTCTCCATCATTATATTCTATTTATTTTATCCATTTATGGTGAGTCTTTTGAAACCAACAATGTTAGAATTATTATGTGTTTCTATGAGTAGTGCGAACACATTGGTTGATGATGCCACAGTGACAAATTCAATTGCCTTCAGGGCCCAAGCAAGTTATATAAATGTGTAAAGAGATACAGTGTTAGACAGGGAGCAGAGGCTATGTAAACTGGAGGTGCCTGCCCAGCCTAGGGGCATTCAAATGCAAAAATTCACAACACCCCTGCCAGTCCAATTTGGCCTTCCACTCACTAGTTTGCAACCCCTGATGCCCTTATTTCTTGCTCTTAGCCTGTGAGGGATGTTGGTGGTGACAGGGTGATTAGCTACATTTTGTTGGTGAAGGAATTGAAACACAGAATAGTAACTTTACAAAAGTCACACAGGAAATCAGCTTCATGCCTATGTCTTGTTCAAAGAGAATAGATTGTAAAAAGGTAAAATGGAAAGCATGACCTAAAACCTGAAAGTGAATGAGCAAGTTTCTTTCTCTTACAGAAAAATATTTTCTAGTATTTGTAAGCAGTTTACTTGATCATATAATAAGTTTTAAAAGCATAATTAAATCAGTCTCCTTTAATATTATTTGTGTGTGTATATGCACATGTGTGTGTATATATATACACATACATACACACGTATTTTATGATTAAATTATAATTAATTTGGGAAATTTGGTATCTCATCATTCCTAAAAGATTTTTAATAATATATAAATTACCTTGCATTATAGAAAACCTAACTTTCAGGAGGAGAATTGTCCCTTTTCTAGATGTCCTACAGGTTTTTGCCCCCAAGATTATGTTTTATTTACTATTATTACTATTAGCTTTGAGGGGAAAAGAAGGTTGGGTAACAGATCCTAGAATCCTCTTTTAATGTGAATGCTTTGAAATTTTTGTTCACTTCTACCACAAGCTGAGAAGTAGACAAAAAATATTCTGCAAATCAAGCCCGTTAAAATTTCACTGCAAAGCATGGACTTGACTGACTGCAAGTGGAGCTGTCAGCTCATACAGGCGTCACTGTCAAAGGGCCATGTCATCTGTCAGTGTCGGTTCCAGCTCACTGTTCCACATAGAGGGAATGCACTGCTGCCTCCCAATTGATAACACGCTGCCAGAAGCATGTTACTTTCTCATCCGTCTTCTTGTAGCTGTCAAAAATGGAATCCATTAATTAGTTTGTTCTTGTGAATTTTAGTTGTTCTGAAGACATGTAAATTTCAAAGTAAGACAAATAAAAATCCCAACCCAAACCATGATGCCAATAAGAGCTCAAAATCCCAAAGTGGCAACTATTACTGACAGTGGCAAAAACTGACCAGCTAAACTCTGCCTTAAGTGAATATAATGATGTGGCTAGTTTCTCATCCCTTTTAATGAGAGCAAGCTTCCCAAGGCAGCAGAGGGAGAGAGGGAGAGTTAGAGAATCAGGCGGGAGAGACGCCCTGAACACGACTCTAACTAGTCAGGCAGTTTGACACAACTTAGAGAGCCTGGTTGCTGCTGCTACTGCATGATTGCCTTTTTGTATTTTATTCCTCTCCAGTGGATTTCAAAAAAAGTTTGATGGGCTTTATTTTCCTCATTTTGGGGGTCCCACAAAGCACAGGGAATTCTGTAAATCCTGTATACGTGAGACTGGGCACCTCATGTGTAATTCACTTCAGCACTCCAGTCTACAGTATATCTAGGATTTGAAGGAATGCTCTAGAAGAAACTTGAAACAAATACGTTGAACAACCTTTATGTCTGATACAGTATATTGCAAACATAGTATGGTTTAGCTCAATCCAATTTTTTCTCTTTCCATCTTTTCAAGTGAGTGATAAAGGATTGCATTAACACTAACTTATTCTATTCTATTCTATAAGCATTTATTAGGTGACTATTTTGTATAGCTCACTGTGCTAGGCACTCTGGGAAATACAAAAGGGATTAAAATACAGCTTTTGCCCTCTACAAGTGCCAACTTTAGAGGAAGAGGCAGGCACATACACAAAGTGCCCTAGGGTACCAAATAATGAACCATGGCAGAGAGGAAAGAGAGATGTGCTCTCCATCCCAGGGAATCTGAGAAGGGTTACTGGAGCAAGCAATGCTTGAGCAACGCTTTGAAGGAAGTGTTGGTCTTCACATAGCTGTTGCTATGGTTTGAATATTTGTGCTTCCCTGAAATTCATAAATTGAAATCTAATCTCCAAGGTGATGGTATTAGGAATTTAAAGGCCTTTGGGAGGTGATTAAATCATGAGAGCAGAGCCCTCATGGCTGAGATTAGTGCCTCTATACAAACAGGCCTGAGAAAGCTGGCTTGCCTCTCCCATCATGTGAGCACACAGCAAGAAGGTGTCATCTATGAGGAAGCAGGCCTGCAACAGACATCTAACCTGCCAGTGCCTTGATCTTGTACTTCCCCACCTGCAGAACTAGGAGAAATGAATTTCTGTTGTTTATAAGCCATCCAGTCTATGGTATTTTATTACAGCAGATGGACAAACTAAGATAGGTGTAATAACCCACCTTTTTCCCCTTTCATATCATGTATAAAGGAGAAAGTGTGGAGCAAAGAAGTTACTCTGTAAATGACCAGGAAGATAGAGCTTCCACAGGTGGAGATGAGCGGGGAAGAGCTTTGCATTCAGAGGTGCCGATGTGAGGGCTAATTCAGCACAGTGCAGGGAGGGTTCTAGGATGGAGACATCCTCCCAAGCACTGTACATTTTACCAAAGCCAACAAATAAGGTGGCCCTTTCCTGAAACATGTAGGGGAAAGCAGTTTATTAACAGGTTGCAGGAATACATCTAATGATTTGTAGCATAAGTAAATGGTAAATACAACCAGAAGAATCTTTCTAAAATTTTAAAAATTCCTTACAGGTTTATGCATTGCCAGCTGGGATACAATATAGAATGGAAAAGTATTAGAATTAATGAAAAGTAAGATAAAAAATAATTTAGCAGAATCTTTTTTTAAGCTCTTCAAAACACTTAAGGAATTTGTGATTCTTTTCTAGTCAATAGCATAGTAGTTTAGGGTTATTTAAGCCCCAGGAGGGAAAGGACCTCGTTTTGCTCATTGCTGAATCCATATAACCCAGAAAAGTGTGTGGCTCATAATAAGAACTCAATCAGCATTTGTTGAATGTACTTCTGGCAAAACCTATCAACTGTAGCTCAGCTGAGTCTTAGAAGTGGAACAAACACTGCTGTGCTCAGGCTCATTCTGCCACCATACATGAAGAATAACTTTAGTTTAAGCTGAAGTTTTACTAGAAGGATAAGGGCTTTGTATTTTAAAATATGGACATTTGTCAACTAATTTGGTCATGGTTACTTCTTACAATTTGAATAAAATTGATTTAAAAGGAAAGAAAACAAATTGATAGCTTAGAAAAATGAACTATCAACAAAGGAATTTTGCTAATGCTAAAAATGTTTGAAGTGCTTATATTTCTTTCTATAAAATGCTAACAGTAAGGTTTACCTAGAACAAAGTGAGATTGTCAACTATCTGATTTATTCAGTCTCCCTAACTAGCCAACTTAAATAATTCAGTCAGCAAAGTGTATTTGGTATAAAGAAAACTAGTTCGACTGCCTTCTAAACTTCACCTTGGGATATTTGGGCCCAGTCTCTGTGTCGATAGGCTAAAGATGTTAACTAGTTGCTTCATTGATAACTGCAGGTAGTTTGCTTATATGCTTCTAATAAACAGGAGTGAATGTGGTAACCTCTCTGGACTGAATCAGTGAGGAAGAAACACAAAAACACTTGAGGAGTAACTGAAAAGAGCATAGCACAGATGTAGGCAGGAGCAATATTCAAACCATGCAACAACTGACCCCTAAGAATGGACACTGGCTGCAGCTATGGTCCAGAGTCTGGGAAGAACCATTTTGGGTCGGGCATTGCTGGATAGTGAGGGAGACCAAGGCAGCAAGTTGGGAGCACTCGGTATAGGAGGGTGGGTAGTGCTTGTGGCAGCAGACGTTTACCACTGGTACAAAAATATCTTGATCTCTTAACAGTCAGTACAACCAAACCAGTGTACACTTGTTGAAAATTACCTCCTTGATATGGACATAAAGTCTGGTTTTCATCCATGAGGAGCTGCTATTAGTGCTCAAGTGTTCAAGCCCATTCGTACGAACATTCCAGCTGGACTGAACATTAGGCCAAGCAACCAAAGGGGAGTGTCCAGGAAATTGACCGCTCCCTGGTTGTCTGTTGGTAGATCCAGTGTGATCTCTTGTTGAGCTTGGGTTGGATCAAATGATGCCTACTGGGGGCTGTTGACACGTATCACAGAGAGAGATCAAAAGGTTTCCTTTAACCAATGGGGATGTCATACTTTAACTTCTAGCACACACCTCTGACACAATAGTACTTGTCACATCAAAATCCAGTTCACTTAACTCAAGTTCTACACGTGTACAATAAAAACTGAAATTGACTGGGTTATTTGGCCATTCTAATTCCTTACAGTCTGTAGCAATACCTTGCTTCCTTCAGCCTAACCCTTCTCTCTTTCCCTCTGTACAATTCCACTCCCTACACCCAACCTTCTCTGAACAAATGTTTATTAAAACCCACTATGTGCCAGGCATTGTGCTAGGTACAGGAAATAATATTAACAAGAAATCATTTTAATGCTTACCTGTACACCATTAATTCAGTTAAAGTCTATGTCAACATCCTTCCACCCATAGCAAGCTACTCTTACTATGTGTGTGAGGGGCACAGTTTCCCACAGGAGATGGATCCTGTTGGGGGAGGTAACTGCAGGAAGAGGGATTCTTAAAGGAGTGGTATTTTCAATGAGGAAATGTCATCATCGATACAGTGGGTGAAAGCCTGGCAAGTTGCACTGAAGGTACTGAAGCCTTCCTTTCGCACACACCTGTTTCAGTGGCCCAGATAAGAATGGACCACTGGCATGATCTTATCTATGCAAGAGCCATCTGAAGAGCTGATCTCAGATGCCCCCACATATCAAAAGCCAAACCATTAACTTGACTTTGATTCCATCAGAGTTGAGTATCAGTCAACAGTAGGCTGTATTTACCTGCTAAAAATCTTTTTTTTTTTTTTTTTTTTTTTGAGACGGAGTCTCGCTCTGTCGCCCAGGCCGGACTGCGGACTGCAGTGGCGCAATCTCGGCTCACTGCAAGCTCCGCTTCCCGGGTTCACGCCATTCTCCTGCCTCAGCCTCCCGAGTAGCTGGGACTACAGGCGCCCGCCACCGCGCCCGGCTAATTTTTTATATTTTTAGTAGAGACGGGGTTTCACCTTGTTAGCCAGGATGGTCTCGATCTCCTGACCTCATGATCCACCCGCCTCGGCCTCCCAAAGTGCTGGGATTACAGGCGTGAGCCACCGCGCCCGGCCCAAAAATCTTTTTAAAAAATGAACACACTTGTGGATGTTAGAAACCCACGAATGCCATTTTTCAGTAGACGAATTTCTTAGAAGTACCTGATTGCTCATTTAATTTTTAAAATAATGAACATATTTATCCTTGGCTATGAACTCCTGCCATAAAATAAGACAGCAGTTTAGTTATCTATAAATAATACAGCAAGGTCTGTTCAACTAATTTCTATATGTAAGATTTCCCCTTCTAATTGAATGCTTTTCTCTTTAATTAGTCAGTTTTTTGTGACCTTTAAATTCTGTTGGAAAAGTTAATCCTCTGGTTAATCTGGACCAATTGGTTTCTGAAACACCATTCAGTAACAAACCATTATTTCTAGCTCAGCTTTTAATTGGTTAGAATGTTATTGCTGCAAGATCCGGTAGCTGTCAGATTTGCCTGCTAGCCAGTCTGAGCTTTCTGGACATATTCCAAGTCATTAAAGCAACATCTCCTGTTCAAGCCAGGGATATTTATCCTAAACCCAAGCCTGATGCTCTCTCCTGCCCTTATTTAATTAAGGTTTAAAGATTGTTGGAGGGTGCCCTGATGAAGACTGGGGACAAGTACACTTTTGAGAAAAAAAAATCTGAGATTCCTTATGTTAAATGCTATTTTTGAATGATTGGGTGAAATAATTATACAAATCACAATTTAGCACTGATGCAAACTATGTTTTTGTTAGATATTTTATCACTTTTACCACAGCTTTGAAATTTCCCCTGTATTAAAAGGTCCAAGGGAACCCAACTGTATCACAGAATTAGAATAACACTAATCAAATATCAAATCCATGAATAACTTATTGAAATTATTTCACTTTTATAAAGAATAGATCTTGTGCTTTCTTTTTAATTGTCCTATTCATATCTGAAAAGTCACACCTTCTCAGACACTAATAGGAGATGAATATCCTATATCATCCATGTATATTTTTCCAACTATGTACCCAGAGATAGTACTGCCTAAGGGCTTGCCATCAGAATCCTGACTAAGCTTTCTCCTGACTAAACTGAGTAACCTTGGTTAAATTTCTCAAGTTCTCTAGCTCCCGTTGCCTCTTTGATAAGAAAACAGTAAAATACTATTTGTGTTATAGTTTTGTAAGTGGTGATTATTAATCATAAAATGAATATGAAATGCTTTGAAAACACTGATATTCATGAAGTCCAAGTTTTATGAAGATTAAATCATCACACTAAAGGAGCTCCTTGAGTGACAGGCAGAATCAGGTTTATTCACTTTTAAATGGGAGAATCTGTTTCCTCTTGAGATCTTTCTCCCCTTGATTCCACCCAATCCATTCCCAACTCACTCTCTTCTAGAGCAGCTAGTGTCACAGAGTTCCTGCTTCAGGATTCTTGCCTGCTCCTCACAATCTCTGCCCTCAATTTGCCTGATTTCCTCAAGAGGTGCATGGTAGGGAGGATGCATCTCCTCACTCCTGATGTTTCCTTCCAGGTGGAAATGTTCCATGAGTAAAGCCGTCCTGGTCCCCTTCCCTCTTCTCACTTAGTCAACCCTTTGGTTGGCAGAGTAAGTTACTAAACAGGTAAACGTGGAAAGAATGAATTGGGTATGCTTGGCTCAAAGCTTCCCTCATTGTCTCAGTACTATTTGTTATCTGTGGGTTTGTGGAGTTTACCTGTCACCCAGAAGGTAATTCTGAGGCTGAGCATTACAAAGCCTATTTGTCTGCGTATATGAGCTGTATTCTCCACTGTAAGCTATATCAGTTTGGTCTTCTCTCTCCCTTTCTTTTATATTTTATTTATTGATTGATTCCAAACTCAGATGAAGATAAGGGGTACTATTTTTTTAACCCACCTCAGACCCTCCAAACTTACAAACCTGTATTTTTATTCTTTACATCCCACCCACTGAGCTCCAGATCCATATACCAACTGTTTTTAAGGAATTCTGTCCATATGTTTCATTAGTATGTAAAGCACACATAAAAAACATCTAAACTAAACTCAATTACTAAATTAAACTAAACTCTTTACCTTTTACCTAAATCTGCTCCTTTTTTTTCAGACACCATACCAGAAACCTGGGAGCCATCATAAATTCTTCTCCATGTATCCAACTCATCACCAAGTCTTGGTAATTTTGCCTCCTCAATCCAGTCTTACTTCTTCATCTCAGATGCTTCTGCCCTAATTCAAGCCCAGCTGCTCAATGCCTGCTCCTCACACACTGGAGTGACCTTTTAAAAATGTAAGTCACTCCACTCTTAAAGCCTTTCCTCAGCATCCCTTCCCATTTAGAACAAAATCTAAACTCATTCCTGTGGCCTATATGATCATTCCCTGTCCATGTAAGTCTCCCACCCTCTCCTAGCACACTCCCTGGCTCACTCTGCTCCAGCCACACCAGCCTCCTTGCTCTTCCAGAGCTCTCCAAGCTCTTTCCCTCTTGGCACTCTGTGCTTGCTTTCACTCTGGAATGCCCTCCCCTCTTCTTCACAAGACTAGTTCCCTCACAATATCTAGCTGTCTGCTCAACATCATCTCCTCAGAGGGAACCTCTCTGGCCATTCATCTTACCTAGCCCTCATCCCCAGGCTAATGCTGTCATGCTTTATTTTTTTTTTTTCATATCACTTAATATGAACTGGCATCATTGCTAAAATTATTTACACTAGAGTGTAACTCAATAAGGACAGGGATTTTCTCTGCCTTTGCACTGCCATGTCTCCAGCACCTAAAATAGTGCTTGGGGGCATAAATGGCACTCAACAAACACAGGTGGAAAAAATACATTGAATGAACTATTTCAACTAATCTTTCCACCTGAAGTTACGAACCCCTCTAATCCCTTCTTCATGCTGCAGTCAATACCCTGTCTAGGGAACAAATATGACTATGTGTGTAAATCCTAACTGAGAGCTCTTTGGCATGTGACACAAGATTCTTTGTGAACTGGCCTCTGGCTGCCCCTCTGGGCTCACCTCCTTCCACTACTCTGGACACTTGTTCTGCTTCAGTCACTCTGATCTACCCGCCACCTCCGACAAGGCACATTCTTATATTTTCCTAACTTTAAAATAAATGGAACTTTACTCTGTCAGGAATAGTCCCCCATCTAACATATTCCTATTTATCCTTCAGAACTCAAAGCATCACCATCCCCTCCTCTGTGAAGCTGTTTCTTGCTCTGTCCGCGCTCATCCCTGCTAGTTGGTCATTCTCTTCTTTAACCGTCTAGAACTTAGAACATTGCTTTAATATTTCACCTGTCACATCGAATTGCAACCGTGTATTTGCATGTCTTGAGACAAGTACGCTGAGGGCAAGGATGTGAGTGGCATAACTGCAACACGTGGGATAATATATGGCACATGCTGGGGGTTCAATAAGGGTTATTGAATGAATAAATGAGTGAGTGCACAATAGCAAAACCACTGGGACACTGAGTGCAATGGGCTCGTCTTCTTTTATGTCCTGGCTCGTTTCAGCTCCCTACCTCTAGACTGACCCAGTATGGACATTTTAATCATATTGATTCTTTCAACACACCAGCGTGGAATGCTTTCCCATTTGTTTGTGCCGTCTATGATTTCTTTCGGCAGCGTTTCGTAGTCCTCCTTGTAGACATCTTTCACCTCCTTGGTTAAATGCATTTCTTTCTTTCTTTCTTTTTTGAGACGGAGTCCCCCTCTGTTTCTCAGGCTGGAGTGCAGTGGCGCGATCTCAGCTCACTGCAAGCTCCGCCTCCCGGGTTCACGTCATTCTGCCTCAGCCTCCCAAGTAGCTGGGACTACAGGCGCTCACCACCACGCCCGGCTAATTTTTTTTTTTTTTTTTTTTTTTGAGACAGAGTCTCGCTCTGTCGCCCAGGCTGGAGTGCAGTGGCGTGGTCTCGGCTCACCGCAAGCTCTGCCTCCCGGGTTCATGCCATTCTCCTGCCTCAGCCACCCAAGTAGCTGGGACCACAGGCGCCTGCCACCATGCCCAGCTAATTTTTTTGTATTTTTAGTAGAGACGGGGTTTCACCGTAGCCAGAATGGTCTCAATCTCCTGACCCCGTGATCCGCCTGCCTCAGCCTCCCAAAGTGCTGGGATTACAGGCATGAGCCACAGTGCCCAGCCTGTTAAATGTATTTCTAGATATTTTATTTTTGCATGTGTGTGGCTATAATAGATAGAATTGGATTCTTGATTTTGTTCTCAGCTTGAATGTTACTGGCGTTTAGAAATGCTACTGCTTTTTGTACACTGATTTTTGTATCCTGATTTTTGTATCCTGAAACTTCTCTGTAGTCATTTAGTATGAGTCTTTGGATGGAATCTTTAGGGTTTTCTAGGTATATGATTATATAGTCAACATCCCTTCATAACAAAAATCCTCAACAAACTAGCATCAAAGGAGCATACTTCAAAATACTAAAAGCCGTCTATGACAACCCTACAGCCAACATCATACTGAACGGGCAAAACTGGAAGCATTTGCCTTAAGAACTGGAACAAGACAAGTGGTGAGGTCCACTCTCAGAACTTTCATTCAACATAGTACTATAACTCCTAGCCAGAGCAATCAGGCAAGAGAAAGAAATAAAACACATCCAATTAGGAGAAGTGGAAGTCAAATTATCCCTCTTTGCTATATGCGATTCTGTACCTAGGAAATACAAATTGTTTTGATAATCTAGACCTATTCGACAAAAAATTTCTTTATCTAAAGGTCCTTAGGATACAATGATTCTATTAAAAATTAGTGAAGTTGTTTTCTGGAACCCATTCTACTGCTGGGCAAACTCAATCTTAATTTTATCTTTTCTAAAGCATTAGTGACGATTAACTTCATTAGCATAGGTAGTTGTGACTATATTTTTTATCAAAAATGCCTTATAAAGAGAGACAGACGTATCCAGTGGTGCTGAGATGAAAGAGGCATTAACTTATGATTGTTCTGTGAAAACAAATCATTTGACAGTAATATGTATTGTAATAGTTTGGAAGGTCATTTAAAATAATTCATTCACATTCAACTAGAGATAGAAAATAACCTGGAATATAAGGCAAGTAAGAGCTCACTTAAAAATTCGACACAAATATACAGTTAGATATAAGAAATAGGTTCTAGTGTTTGATAGGAGACTACAGTGACTATACTTAACAGCAATATTTTGTATATTTCAAAGTAACTAGAAAGGAAACTTGAAATGACACCAACGCATGAAAAATGATAAACACTCAAGGTGATGGATACTCCAAATAACCTGACTTGATCACTAAATTCTATGCAGGTAACAAACACCCCCATGAACCCATAAATACGTAAATGATTATATATCAACAAAACAGAAAAAACAAAGAGCAATGTTTAAAAAACTACTAAAAACAATTTCTTGTTTTGTTTTTTTTTTTGTTTTGTTTTTTTTTTTTTTTTTTTTTGAGATGGAGTCTGTCTCTGACGCCCAGGCTGGAGTGCAGTGGTGCGATCTCGGCTCACTGCAAGCTCCGCCTCCCGGGTTCACGCCATTCTCCTGCCTCAGCCTCCCAAGTAGCTGGGACCACAGGAGCCCACCACCATGCCCGGCTAATTTTTGTATTTTTAGTAGAGACGGGGTTTCACCGTGTTAGCCAGGATGGTCTCGATCTCCTGACCTCGTGATCCGCCCGCCTCGGCCTCCCAAAGTGCTGGGATTACAGGCTTGAGCCACCGCGCCTGGTCTAAAAAAAACATTTCTTATTCTGGTACTTCTACAGGATGGAGGAGATGTCTTCAAATACAGGGGAAAAAATAATAGTGGAAATACCAATTAGCTACCAAATCTATACAAGAATAGATTAAAATGAGAAAAATTTAGGTATCTTTAAGGATTAAGATATATGCATATAAAATGACTGTGAATGCAGTAAGAATGTGTTGTTTTTTCTGTATCTTCTAATTTTTATCACTGATTAATAGAATTGTGACAAAAAAAGATAGATCCTTATTAACTCTTTGCCTGCAGAGGAAGAATTTCTAAGCATGACCTATCTGCCAGTTAAAATCAATTAAGTACCAAGAGAGTCATCAACTGGCCCAGGGCTGAAATCCATTGTAAAACTCCCTGGAAAATTCGAACAAAAAAAATGCTAATTTCTCACCATAGAGGGGGAGCAGCCTTTTAATTGGATCAGATTATTATTTTAACTCCTGGATTTTGAAGACTGACCATAACAGTAAGTACCTCCAATAAATTTCAACCCAATCAATGTGACTCAAAGATTAGAAAACTCTGCCATTCTTTTCCCTGACAGGTAGCAAGGATCAGTGAACTAAAAGATGGCTGGTGTCAGAAGTATTGAATAGTGTTCGTGAGACAGTACCTGCAGGGAAGCCTCGCAAAAATTACAGAACTTCTCTGGGCCTCCACTTTCTCTATTAAAAAAATAATATTTTGTAGAGACAGAATTTATATGATGACTTTGACAGGTCTATAACAAGCATAAACACATACATATGTATACATATATGTGTGTGTGCATTTTTTAACTTCTCACCTCAGGTCTTAATTTCATTAGAAGATTGGTAATAAATAACACAAAAAGATAAGTATATTCTTTCTAATGTCTACTTCCTTCTTTCGGGGGGATCTGGGCATAAAGCTGATCACCATTTTCTTTCTTTTTTCTTTGTTTTCTTTTTGAGATGGGGTCTCACTCTGTTGCCCAGGCTGGAGTGCAGTGGCATGATCTCGGATCACTGCAATCTCCGCTTCCCAGGTTCAAGTGATTCTCCTACCTCAGTCTCCTGAGTAGCTGGGATTACAGGCACCTGCCACCATGCCCTGCTAATGTTTGTATTTTTAGTAGAGACGGGGTTTCGCCATGTTGGCCAGGTTGGTCTCGAGCTCCTGATCTCAGGTGATCCGCCTGCCTCGGTCTCTGTAAGTGCTGGGATTACAGGCGTGAGCCACCGCACCCGGACCTGATCACCAATTTTTACAGTGTATAATATTAGTGAGGAGACAATGGCTGAGTTATTTCATTACATGGTACCTTGGTTTATTTTTGTGTCATTAAAAAAAGTTCACTCTTTTCTGATTATGAAATTTATACATGCCCACTGTAGAAAAATTGGAAGGAAAAAAGATCATCCATAATCATACCACACAGAAGAATTACAACTAACATTTTGGCAGATGTCTTCTAATATTTTTCCATACTTTTTCAACTTGAGATTTTACGATAAGAACAATTTTATACTGAGCTTCTAAAGTTAACCTTGTCAGCTTTTCCCCATTAAAAACTTTTGTCAACATGAACAGATTATTAATAGGTATGGGGAAAGGATCTCCCTTCTTTCCCTGCCCCTTCTCAATTCTTTTCTTTCTATTCTTTTTCACTGTGTTTCTTTCTTCTGTTACGCATGCCTAGGTTTACCAGTAACACCTGAGATATAGTTTGACTCTCCGGTGTTCTTTCAGAATTCAGGACCTTGAAGTCTCTATGGGAATAATTCATTGTGACAAGTGAGGGATCTAATGTAGATGTCACAGTCACTGATTTAATCATAAATCGTAAATTG